>NC_000010.11:13191818-13343333 GCF_000001405.40 Homo sapiens
AGCAGTATTATCTTCCTGGCCAAGCTTATTGGTTATCTTTTGTTAAAATGGGTCTTGGTCATAAAAACAAAAAAATTTTTAATAAAATAAAAACAAATAAAAACAAGTCTTGATCAGAGAATGCAGCCCCCATCCTGGGCTTGTGGTCAGGGACCCTTATCCTTAGCGGATATTCCAGAAACAGGGTATGGAATGACCCCCAGATTTAAGGGCTTAATATTCTAATCATTACTAGAAATAAAATATAGTCGAGATACCCTGCCATCCTATGAGTCTGATGATAGAGGTTAAGGATTCTTTTCTTTCCTCTTGGGATTCCGTCTTCTTCGTTTACGTATGACTAAAATTACAAGTGCAGAGTTTAGAAAGTGGTATGTCATATGACCTCAAACCATCTGAATGTGAATCCTCTAAAGCTGGTGTTGACCTGGCACAGGAATACCCCAGAAGAGCCTGTCTTGCTCTGAGGAGTTCAAGGAACTGATGGACCTGCCGACGTGTGGAGCCAGGAACTTAAAACAACATTTAGCCAAAGCCACAGCTTCAGGTACCATCAGCTGCATGGCCACACGTGTGTCCCTGTGTTCCCTCAGCCTCCCAGGGCACCCCCTCAGTCTGGGCTTCTGTTTCAGGGATTATGGGGAGCCCAAAACCAGCCATCAAGTCCATCTCGGCCTCAGCACTCTTGAAGCAACAGAAGCAGCGGATGTTGGAGATGAGGAGAAGGAAATCAGAAGAAATACAGAAGCGGTAAGAGGAGCAGATTTAATATTCCCCGCTTGGGTCATCCATCTCAGGCGTCCTCAGAACGTCTTCATCGATTTCCAGAATGTGACTTCAGGTTTCGGTTGGCTGCGTTTTAACTCTGAAAGTTTAAAATAGTTTTCCCATAACCTGAATAGCATTTAAGGCTGTATTATTTCTTACACTGGTGACTCCCAACACCAAATGGTACAGGTTAGAGTCGTTATCACCATGGAAAAGGGAAAGGAGTGAAGTGTATGTAAAGAGGGTTTTTGTGAAGGGGGAGAGCGTAGGTTCACATGCTGGCTGTCATTTTCTCTCTCTCTCTCTTTTTTTTTTCTGAGACGGGTTTTCACTCTGTCACCCCAGCTGAAGTGCAATGCTGCAGTGTCGGCTCACTGCAACCTCCATGTCCCAGGCTCAAATGATCCTCCTGCCTTGGCCTCCCAAGTAGTTGGGACTACAGGCATGTGCCACTATGCTTGGCTAATTTTTGTATTTTTTTATAGAGACTGGGTTTTGCCATATTGCCCAAGCTGGTCTCAAATTCCTGGACGCAAGCCTGGATTTGCCTGGCTGCCATTTCTGGGTTTTGCCGCAATTCAGTTTTTTATGACAGGCAGAGCCAGTGAGTAGAATACAGTTCTTTGGATAAAGGACAAAACTGAAGCACTAAAAATGGAGAGTCATTTTAGAGGCAAAAGCAAGTGGAAATGTGTTACTTGGCTTCAGCCAATAATTAAAAAAAAAAAAAATCAAGTGGAAATGCATAGGGTAGGTGGACAAATGAATGATTCCTGAACTCAGGTCACCTGAATACTAATGAGAGCTGCGGTTCACAGGCACTTCATACGTACTCCATAAACACAGTATCTGAGCCTCCGGAGGCTTCTCAGCCTTGTTTTACTAATAGTGTGCCTGGAGATCAGAGAGCTAGTTTATGGTGGGGCCGAGTTTTGGGCTCACACATGTTGTGCTCTGGTGCTGAACCTTTTGCCATCCCGAATCTGGGCTGCTGAAAGGCAACCACATCCATGAAAGGGAGTCAATGATAAGACAAGAGGAAATTCTTTGGGAAAGTAAGAGAATGGGTTTGGTCTCAGGCAGATTAGTTTGAAGTGCCGGTGGGATATCTATAGAGCTATTCATCTTGAGCCTACAGATGACATAAATTATATACGTGGACACAGAAATATGTATGGAGTTGGGGGCCTCGTGGGAAATAGAGAATGCCCATCAGCTTGAAGGCATTGCGTAATGAAAATTTTCAGAATTTTGTTGGCCAAGGAAACCTTATCTTTGCGTAGGATTTGATAGGCAGTTTGCAAACACAGCCTAGAGCTTGCAAGAGTGGCTGTGCGGTTGGGAAGAGTACTGCTCTGGGATGGCCTGGCTCTAATCCTGAGTCTGGCCCTTGTGAGTAATGTGATCCTAGGCCTCAGTTTCTTCATCGATCAAATGAGAAGTTTGGACTAGATGATTTCTGGGGTTTGTTATTTGTTTTTAAATATCTCTTATGAGGCTGGCTTGGTGGCTTATGTCTGTAATCCTAGCACTTTGGGAGGCCGAGGCAGGCAGATCGCCTGAGCCCAGGAGTTTGAGACCAACCTGAGCAAAATGGCGAAATCCTGTCTCTACAAACAGTACAAAGATTAGCTGGGCATGGTGGTGCACACTGTGGACCCAGCTACTCGGGAGGCTGAGGTGGGAGGATCACCTGAGCCTGGGAGGCAGAGGTGGCAGCGAGCCGCAATCGTGCCAACGCACTCTAGTCTGGGTGACAAAGCAAGACCCTGTCTCCAAAAACAAAAGTAAAATAGCTCTTAAAACTATTTTTTGCCAGGCATGATAGCTCACGCCTATAATCCCAACACTTGGGAGGCTGAGGCACGAGAATCACTTGAACCTGGGAGGCAGAGGTTGCAGTGAGCCAAGATCATGCCACTGCACTCCAGCCTGGGTGACACAGCGAGACTCTGTCTCAAAAAAATCAAAAAAAAGAAAGGGGATGTAAAATAATCGCTGCAAGTTACAGTGTTTTTCATTAATGACTTCCAAATGTCTCACATGTATTGTCTCTTCCCAGTAGCATAAACAAAGATGCAGGGAGGTGCAATGAGTTCCTACAGGCCCTAGAGCTGACGGTAGGGGTGGGAATACAGTTCACACCGCGTCTTCAGCTGTGTTCCTTGTGGATGACATCCACTGGACAGCCAATTGATAAAAACAGTTATCAGTTCTAAAGTGTTAGGACAATTACAGCTTATTCAAAGAAAACTCAATTAAGGAGGAGTTAGTAAAGCTAGTATTGTTCTTATCGTGTGCAAATTTGAATTACCAGCCTAGAAGGGGACATTATTTTGCTAACAACTAGCTCCCAACTGGTGGCCTGCCTGCCGCCTCCCAGTCCACTTTGAGTTCTAGAGTTTTTATTTTCGTAAACCCTGTTTGCGTATTTTGACTGTATGTTCTTTAAAGATTTCTGCAGAGCTCAAGTGAAGTTGAGAGCCCAGCTGTGCCATCTTCATCAAGACAGCCCCCTGCTCAGCCTCCACGGACAGGATCCGAGTTCCCCAGGCTGGAGGGAGCCCCGGCCACAATGACGCCCAAGCTGGGGCGAGGTGTCTTGGAAGGAGATGATGTTCTCTTTTATGATGAGTCACCACCACCAAGACCAAAACTGAGTGCTTTAGCAGAAGCCAAAAAGGTAACTGGCATCTCTTCTCTTTAGCACTTGAGTTTGCATTCTGTAGAGCAGAGCTGGAGGAAAGACAGACACCTAATAGCTCTTTATTGATCGTGATCATTAGAGTCAGTGTAATTTGAAAACATGGTAGTGTCAACATAATACTAAAAGAAAGTTAGATCTGTTATCTCAACACTTTTTCTTGTCAGGCTACAAGAGGTAGCCTAGAGGAAGATAGTGTTTTATAACCAGAGGCATTGACAGTAGGAAAACAATGCTTGGAATTGTTGAGGTGAGACTGTAAAATGGTGGTTTAAGGAATCCTTTTTTTACGTTTATTTATTTATTTATTTATTTATTTATTTATTTATTTATTTTTTGAGAAGGAGTCTCACTCTGTCACCCAGACTGGAGTGCAGTGGCGCAATCTCGGCTCACTGCAACCTCCTCCTCCCAGATTCAAGCGATTGTCCTGCTTCAGCCTCCCGAGTACCTGGGACTACAGGCGCCTACCACCACGCCCGGCTAATTTTTAGTAGAGACATGGTTTCACCATGTTGGCCAGGCTGGTCTCGAACTCCTGACCTCAAATGATCTGTCCACCTCGGCCTCCCAAAGTACTAGGATTATAGGTGTGAGCCACCATGCCTGGCGGTTTTATTTTTTATTTGTTGAGACAGACTATCCCCCTGTCACCCATGCTAGAGTGCAGTGGTGCAATTATGGTTCACTGCAGCCTCAACCTCCCAGGATCGATTCATCCACCTGCCTCAGCCTCCCAAGTAGTAGCTGGGACTGCAGGCACATGCCACCACGCCTTGGCTAATTTTTGTATTTTTTGTAGAGATGGGGGCCTCCCTTTGCTGCCCAAGCTGGTCTTGCACTCCTGGACTCAAGCAGTCCCACCTCAGCCTCCCAAAGTGCTGGGACTACAGGCATGAGCCACTGTGCCTAACCAAGAATCCTTTAAAAGAAATCTTACACAAAAGTCCAGTCCCATGACAGGTGAAAGCTGAGTTGCTGCGGCTGAAGTAGGGGTAGGGCACCCAGAGCCCCACCTGCCCACTTCCTGAGTGCCCCAATCGAGCCTCTCTCTTCCCTTAAGTTAGCAGCTGCAGCCAAATGAAGGGCAAAGCTTGCTGTATGCCAAAACCTTACCTATAATAATAACAACAGGAATACCTACAATAACCATGGCACATGTCCATATTACTCAGTACTTGTGATATGTGTGTGCCATGTATTTACTATGTTTATTTATTTATTTATATATATATTTTTTGAGATGGAGTCTCGCTCTGTCACCCAGGCTGGAATACAGTAGTCCGATCTCGCCTCACTGCATCCTCTGCCTCCTGGGTTCAATCAATTCTCTTGCCTCAGCCTCCCGAATTGCTGGGATTACAGGTGCCCACCACCATGCCTGACTAATTTTTGTATTTTTAGAAGAGACAGGGTTTCACCATGTTGGCCAGGCTGGTTTCGAACTCCTGACCTCAAGTGATCCACCTGCCTCAGCCTCCCAAAGTGCTGGGATTACAGGCATGAGCCACTGCGCCCGGCCAGGAATGTATTTGCTATGTAAAGATTCATACTTTGCAGATATTATCTTATTTCATCCATACAACCATGACCTTCAAAGGTAGGTCAATGCTATATCATCATTTCCTTCTCTTTTTTTGTGTGTTTGTTTTGAGACAGGGTCTCACTCTGTCTCCCAGGCTGGTGTACAGTGGTGCAATCACAGCTCACTGAAACCTCCATCTCCCTGGGCTCAGGTGATCCTCCCATCTCAGTCCCCTGAGTAGCTGGGACTACAGGCATGCACTACCATGCCCAGCTAATTTTGTACCATGCCCAGATGAAGTCTCACTGTGTTGCTCAGGCTGGTTTTAAACTCCCGAGCTCAAGAAATCCACCTGCTTCAGCCTCCCAAAGTGCTGGGTTTACAATGAGCTACCATGCCAAGCCCCATTTCCATTTTATACTTGAAAAATTAAGTAATTTTCCTTGGGTTACAAGCTAGTCCGTGGCAGAGCTGGCTGGAACTTTATCTTAATTCTCTCTGATTCTAAAACTTCCAAAATGGTGATGTGGCTCCTTTATGGATCTGGAAGCCTGCAGTCTTGCTGATGTCAAACTTGTTATATTTAAATAAACTAAGATTTTATTCATCAACATATAGACCTGTCTCCCATGCTATTATATTCTAGTAATTGTGTTAATAATACTAAGTAAAATTAAGATATGTTCTGCCAATTTCTGTCAGAGAACAGCCAGAATTCACTGGTTACTAATAAAAAAGGGATCCAGGTCTATAAGTGCCTCTGTCATCTTTTAGATCTTTACCTCCCTCTCATTCCCTTTTTTCTAGTTAGCTGCTATCACCAAATTAAGGGCAAAAGGCCAGGTTCTTACAAAAACAAACCCAAACAGCATTAAGAAGAAACAAAAGGACCCTCAGGACATCCTGGAGGTGAAGGAACGTGTAGAAAAAAACACCATGTTTTCTTCTCAAGGTACTGCAGTTTCACAGTTAACAGTGGGAAAGAGAAACTGTTTCTAAGGGAAATATGTTCTAAACCCAAACCAGCACCCAGATATCAAGCAATTACTTCCATTTCCTCCTATATAGAATACCTAAATAGAATTTCTATGGGTGGAACTGATTTTTTTTTTTTTTTTCATGGAGTCTTGCTCTGTTGCCAGGCTAGAGTGCAGTGGCGCAGTCTTGGCTCGCTACAGCCTCTGCCTCCTGGGTTCAAGCGATCCTCCTGCCTCAGCCTCACGAGTAAGTGGGACTACAAGCGCGCGCCACCACGCCCAGCTAATTTTTTGTATTTTTAGTATAGATGGGGTTTCACCATGTTGGCCAGGATGGCCTCGATCTCTTGACCTCATGATCCGCCCGCCTTGACCTCCCAAAGTGCTGGGATTACAGACGTGAGCTGGAACTGATTTTTTTATAATTACATTAAATTGGAATGAAATTGGGCACAATTTGAATACTTGGGAATAGGATTGCTCATTGGATCTTTGTACATATATATATTAGCATAAAGATTTACTTTGACAGAACTAGAATTCCTTTGTTTTAAATTGCCATATCTTTATTTTTAAAACTCTGAAGTTGGCAATATCATTTTAACATAATTGTCAACATTATTTACACTGTTGTTATCTGTTACTATCGTCAGCTGCCTATTTGAAGGTGAAAAAGAGATTCTATTTAGTGGTAAAATCTGCCACCACCCCACATTCTAGGCTCAGCTTCTTGGCTCACCTCTGAGAGCTTTTCCCTGCTGGGACCAGCGGGGGTAGGTCAAGTTTGAAGGGCTGGTAGGCAGAGGAGGAGGGAGTGGGAGGGAGTAGAGTTGATGAGGCGCACTGGCTTTCTGAAATTTCTTGGTCGCTGCTAATGTTTGTTCCTTGTGCCCTAGCTGAGGATGAATTGGAGCCTGCCAGGAAAAAAAGGAGAGAACAACTTGCCTATCTGGAATCTGAGGAATTTCAGAAAATCCTAAAAGCAAAATCAAAACACACAGGCATCCTGAAAGAGGTAAGAGCCCAAAAGCTCAAGGATGGTGTTGATGTCCGATGTCCTTCAAAGCCAAGGTGCTAGCTGTAGGACCAAGAATGTGTTGTTTGTTTTATTTTGTTTTTCTGAGACAGAGTCTCAGTCTGTGGCCCAGGCTGAAGTGCAGTGGCGCCATCTCGGCTCAATGCAAGCTCCGCCTCCCAGGTTCAAGCGATTCTCCTGCCTCAGCCTCCCAAGTAGCTGGGATTACAGGTGCCTGCCACCACACGAAGCAAATTTTTGTGTTTTTAGTAGGGACAGAGTTTCACCGTGTTGGCCAGGCTGATCTCTAACTCCTGACCTCAAGTGATCCTCCAGCCTTGGCCTCCCAAAGTGCTGGGATTACAGGCGTGAGCCACCATGCCCGTACCCAGCCAAGAATCTGTTTTTTACATAAATCTAAAAGTAGGTATATGTCAGTTTGTTTGAGTTTGCTTTGAAGAACAGGAGAATTTCTAATAAATTTTAGCTTTGTCCTTGTCTCTTTACTGAAGAATATCATTTGATTTAACATGACTTAAATAGATATCAATATTATAAAAATGTTTGCATTTGGTTATGGCTGTGAAATTATGTTTAAATGGCTCTACACTGCTGCTATTTTCTGCCTTGCAATATGCAAAAAGAGTTTTCCCATTCCAGTATTTTTATATTGGCATTTCAAATGCTCTAAATCAGTAGTTAACCCCATCACACCCAAGGACCCTTTTTAATAACAAGTATTTTGTATTGCTTCCTTATCTTGAAATAAAATTCATAGATAATATGAATTACCTATACTAGTCATTTCGAAAAAAATCAATAAATATCCTAATGCAAATAAGAAAAAATGAAAAGATTTGTGATAAAGATACAGATTTCATTATGGATTCATAAATGCAGAGGCAGAACTAGCTTAGGGGAAATAATCAAGTCATCAGAGGCTTGGACTTATCAGTGTAAATGAGCCAGAAATGGAGGCTCACATAGGTTTGTGTCTTGGTAAATAGCATGGACCTATTTCTTTGATAATGTAGGGGTTTTGTCAGGGGTTGGAGGGGTGTTCAGACAGGGTCTCCGTATGTTCCCCAAGCTGGTCTTGAACTCCTGGGCTCAAGCAATTCTCATACCTCAGCCTCCTGAGTAGCTAGGGCTAGATAATGTACTTTTGGTGGGGGTTGGGGAGGTTTTGTTTTTTTTGAGACAAGGTCTTTTTCTGTCCCCCATCAGGGCTCACTGCAGCCTCGAACTCCTGGGCTCAAGTGATGTTCCCACCTCAGCCTCCCAAGTAGCTGGGACTACAGGCGCATCACCATGACTGGCTAATTTTTTTTTTTAGAGACAGGGTTTATCTAGTTTTACTCTTGGAATGGTCAACATAGGTTAAAACCATGCACAAATATTGTAGGGTTGTGTAGAAAGCAGTTAGATTCTAGGGTTTAATCAGGTTCCCCATCCACACAGATGTCTCATAGAGCACACAGAAGCCAGGCAGGATGAGAAGCAATCCTTGGTTGTGTCGGTGACTGTCACATGCATTGCAGACAGTGCAGCACCCCGGTCCCTGCCAGCCACAGAGGTAGCAATCATTGCAATGAAAAGGAAAGTGCTCCCACCAATTTTCAAAATATCCCCATTCAGTATCACTACTCTGAATGATCTGTTCTTCCTTTGATTAACAAATAACTAATGAGACAGTTCTGCATCATATCTTTTCACTGGACTTGAAACTCAGGAGAGATGCCAGAGCTGACTGCAGGCTGCAGAGCTGAGCTCCTCGCCTCTGTGGAACCCTTGGCCCCAGGCCCTCCTGTCTGTGGAGCAGCACTAATCCCATCGCTGCACCCACATTCTGCCACAAGCATCTCTGCCCTCAGGGCTGTTCCCTGATGTCCCGTGCACCCAGGAAACTCACCAGTGGGGGCCTGGAATACCTTGTGTATGTGGAGTCTGTATTAGAACAGTAGAAATAACTGCCTTTGGGCACACACTTGACATACTGATACTGTCATGTTAGGAGTGTTTATTTGTATTTGGTGCTTTAAAAGTCACCAAATGGGCCAGGTGCGGTGGCTCATGCCTGTAATCCTAGCACTTTGGGAGGCCAAGGCAGGCAGATCACCTGAGGTCAGGTGTTTGAGACCAGCCTAGCCAACAGGGTGAAACCCCATCTCTACTGAAAATCCAAAAATTTAGCTGGGCATGTGGCGGGCACCTGTAGTCCCTACTACTCAGGAGGCTGGTGCAGGAGAATCACTTGAACCCAGGAGGTAGAGGTTGCAGTAAGGTAGAGATTGCACCACTGCACTCTAGCCTAGGTTACAGCGAGACTCCATCTCAAAAATAAAATAAAATAAAAATAAAAATCACCAAATGCTCTCATGTCCCTTTGTTTTTGCATATTAAGAGCTCGTTTCTATGCATCATCATCTTTTGCTTTGCAGCTCATGAGGTGCTGTCCAGGGCCCTCTCACACTTAGCCTGCCTCTTCCATTCTGTTCTGTTTTGATTATTATCAGCTGAGTCATTTGAATAATCATCGAGTTACTCTTACTGTGCTGCCTGAGTGCATACTGGATTTAGTACCAGGTCTTTCATTATGCCCTGTCATTCCAGGCCGAGGCTGAGATGCAGGAGCGCTACTTTGAGCCACTGGTGAAAAAAGAACAAATGGAAGAAAAGATGAGAAACATCAGAGAAGTGAAGTGCCGTGTCGTGACATGCAAGACGGTGGGTGAAGGTGGGGGCTGCAGCAACCCATGGGCCCTGTGTGGTGCTTTTGTGACTCGGCAGCATGTGGAGAACCTGTGGGATCTGGGGCCCTATCTCGTGATGTGTCAGTTAATTAGGCTGGAAAGCAAAGGGCGCAGGTGGCCCAGGACCCGGCTTCCTGCCTGACCTGGCTGCTGTGCTCTGCTGATGGAGTGTTTGTCGAGGGGATTCTTCTCTCATTTGACCACAGCCCCCAGTTTGGATGGGTCCTAACATCTCTTGCCCTGGACCACTGGGTCCGCGTGGCTCTGACTGCTCTTTCTCAGGTTTTGGCGTATCCTCGCTCAGCGTTCTCAGGCCTTGGGACCGTGGTTGAACCCCCTGGCCTCTCCTGTTATGATCCACCACTGCTTTCCTACTCCTGGCTCAATCTGCTCTGTTGAGTCTCAAGCCAGAGTGTGGATTAGATCATCATCTGTGTTTGCAGAATTTTTATCATAAATCTGTTAGAAAATTCTAAGTCCTCTATTCTTCAACACTGATTAAAAATGGGAAGAAAGGGCTGGGTGTGATGGCTCATGCCTGGAATCCCAGCACTTTTGGATGTCAAGGCAGGAGGATCACTTAAGGCCAGGAATTTGAGACCAACCCGGGCAACATCGTGAGACCCCATCTCAACAAAAAATAAAAAATTAGCCGGTGTGGTGGTGCACACCTGTGGCTCCAGCTACTTGGGAGGCTGAGGCAGGAGGATCACTTGAGCCCAGGAATCCAAAGCTGCAGTGAGCTATGATCACGCCACTGCACCCTAGCCTGGGCAACACAGCGAGATCCTATCTCAAAAAGAAAAAAGACAAGAAAGAAGAAAGCTCTTGCTGAACACTGTTCCTTCCATTACCATTTGTTCCCACTATCCCTGTGTGGCAAATCAGCCTACTTAATAAACATGCAGAAGAGGTGGAAGTGGCATAGCTTACCAAGTGCACTTTTCTCTGTCTTATTCCTTTTAACACTTTAGCTCTCCTATGCATTTGGGGGTCAGCTCCAAATCAGCTACCACCAAAAGTAGGGCTTCCTTGAGAAAGTTTCTGTCTTGGGGCATAAGTAAAGATGATTCTTTTAAACGTAATCTTTGGAAGATTATGTGTCTTTGGAAGACAGGAAACACAAACCCACCATTGCATTTCACCCTAGATGACAGCTCTTACTCTGACACAGCGGTGGACCTGCAGGCGGACTTAGTGGGTTTGTCTCCTGTTGCCACCGTAACAATGATCACAGATGAGGTGGCCTAACACAATGCACATTTATTGTTATTTTATTATGTATTTATTTATTTATTTTTGGAGACAGAGTCTCACTCTGTCGCCCAGGTTGGAGTGCAGTGGCACAGTCTCGGCTCACTGCAACCTCTGCCTCCCTGGTTCAAGCGATTCTCGTGTCTCAGCCTCCCGAGTAGCTGGGATTACAGGCACGCACCACACTGCCTGGCAAATTTTTGTATTTTTAATAGAGATGGGGTTTCACTATGTTGGACATGCTGGTCTGGAACTCCTGACTTCAGATGATCTGCCTGCCTTGGCCTCCCAAAGCGCTGGGATTACAGGCATGAGCCACCATGCCTGGCCTCACAGTGTACATTTATTATCTCTTATGTAGGTCAGAAGTCTGTAGGGCTACAATCAGGGTGTAGCCAGGGCCAGGTTTCCTGCAGACGGGGCTGCAGTAGGGGAGAATCATCTCCTGGCCCAGCTTCTGAGTCACAGTATTCTTGCCTGCCCTCACTTCCTCCATGCAGCCAGCGGCAGCAGGTTGAGCTCTCACCTTGCAGCCCTGAGCTCCTCTTCCACGTTTAAGGGTCCTTGTGATTCCATTGGGCCCACCCAGATCATCTAGGACAATCTCCCTATCCATTAGCAACCTGAATTTCACCTGCAGCCTCGATTCCCCTTCCCTCTGGACCATCACACACTCACAGTTTCGGGGAGTAGGGTGTGCACGTTTTTTAGAGGGCCATCGTCATGCCAGCCTTGGGCTCACCACTCTGCTCTGCACTTTCTGAGGTTGTCCAAGTGTCGAGTTATTGATCAAGCTCAGTGTAATTCCCGGAAGTTACATCGCTCTCTACTGCACATGTTTTGCTACTCACCCACCCCTTCTCATTCTCCTCGGTCCTTCTGAGGATCGGAATTAAAAGTGAATTCCTCAATCTCTCTGTCTTGGCTTTGCTGCTAATAGGGAGTAAGAATAAGCCTATATCCTTTTTATAGATCATAGAAGAGAATGAAAGAGCTGCTGATCAGTCTAAATAGATCCCAAGCCTCAGCATCCTATATAAGCAAGGGGCCGTAATGACTCTAGCACAGACTGACCGAAGCTATTTAGGGGTTTACAGTACGTTTCCTCTCCTGCCCTTGCTGTTGTCATCATGGAACGTGTTACACAATAACAGAAAGTTATTGTGTACTTTGTGCCTGATCAGAAATTGGGACAAACGTGAGAAACGGTGGTATCAGTGTGAGGGAGTCGGGCAATCACACGGGTCACTGTAGCAAGAGGCGAAGGTGGCCCAGTCCCCTAGCAAGGGCCCAGGTAGTGATGAGAGACCAGGTGGTCATGGAGCAGATTGCCCTTACTGCAGCTGAGCATTTGTCCTCAAAGGCTCTTCACCGGCGGTGTGGGTTTTTTGTTGCTCTGTGCAGTGCGCCTATACCCACTTCAAGCTGCTGGAGACCTGCGTCAGTGAGCAGCATGAATACCACTGGCATGATGGTGTGAAGAGGTTTTTCAAATGTCCCTGTGGAAACAGAAGCATCTCCTTGGACAGACTCCCGAACAAGCACTGCAGGTATGAGAATCACCTGGAGCTCTTTGTCCCACGTGGGGATTTTCATCTCTTTTTCCAGAGTCTGTGATTCTGTTCCCTTGGAACGTTGGATGATCATTCCATGCCTTCCTATAGCTCCAGGCTACCCTTGGGACTCAAGCTGTTAACTGAAATCCCTGGAAGGAAGGGACCCTGCCCTTTCACTGCTGTCCCCAACACCTAATATAGTGCCTGGCCCATAAGGGGTCCTCAGAAGTGTTTGTTGAATAAATAAGTGAAGAATCATAGGGTGAGGTGGTAAACATGTGTGTGTTTGTTGGGGGCTAGGATGCACATAATATTTTTTTCCTCTCTCCAAAGAGTTATTTGATCATTTTAAATGTCTTTAGCTTGTGAGGACTCTGCTGTTCTTCAGTATCCAAGGGGCATTGGTCCCAGGACAGCACTCTTCCCCACAGGATACCAAAATCTGTGGATGCTCAAGTCTCTGATATAAAATAGTGTCATATTTGCATATAACATGCACACATCCTTCCATATACTTTAAATCATCTCTAGATTACTTATAATACCTAATACAATGTAAGTGCTGCAAATAGTTGTTATATTGTTTTTTATTGTATTTTTTATTGTGCTTCTCATGTATGTATGTATGTATGTATATATATATATATATATATATATATATATATATATATATATATATATATTAATTTGTATAAATTTAAGGGGCACAAGTGCAATTTTGTTACCTGGATAGTTTGTGTAATAGTAAAGTCGGGGCTTTTAGTGTAGCCATCACCTGAAATAATGTACATTGTACCCATTAAGTAATTTCTCCTCCCTCGCCCCCTCCCACCCTTCGGTGTCTATTATTCCGCCTTCTGTGTCCTTGCATACACATGTTAGCTTCCATTTGTAAGTGGGTACATGCAGTATTTGGCTTTCTGTTTCTGAGTTTTTTCACTTAGGATAATGGCCTCCAGTTCCATCCATGTTGCTGTAAAAGACATGACTTCATTCTTTGATATGGCTGAGCAGTATTCCATTGTGTTTATGTACCACATTTTCTTTATCCAGTCATCTCTTGATGGGCATTTAGGTTGATTCCACGTCTTTGCTATTTTGACTATTACTGTGATAAACATACATGTGCAGAAATCAGTGTACTGATTTCTTGTTCTTTGGGTAGATACCCAGTAGTGGGATTGCTGGATTGAATGGTAGTTTTATTTTTAGTTCTTTGAGAAATCTTCATATGTTTTCTATATGAGGTTGTGCTAATTTGCATTCCCACCAGTGTGAGCATTCCCTTTTCACCACATCCACGCCAGCATCTGGTTATTTTTTGCCTTTTTAATAATAGCCATTCTTACTGGTATAAGATGATAACTCTGATGATGAGTGTTTTTCCGAATACTTTGGACCCACGGATGGGATGCTTGAACCCACAGGTGTGGTAGGCTGACTGTGTGTGTTGTAAGTGTCTTTTGTTTCTCTTTTTACTTTTGGGGGCAACATCAGATACGGAGGCAGAGCTGCCGTGTTTGACAGTCAAGGAACATCCTTCACATAGAATACGACGATGGCACCTCTGGAGCTGGGTTAAGGAACCCTCCCTGGTGCAGCATGTTGCCGTCGCAGGTCCATCCAGTGCCCTCCCTGTTTCATTCACGTGCTCTTCTTACCCATTCTCCCTCCATCCTATCCCTTCGCACCATCCTCTGCCATTCTCCAATGGTTGCTGTGATCCTCTTGTTAATTTTCTTGTGAACGTGTACTGCTTGCTCTGCAGCCGTTTTTATTTCACATAGGTGGTACAGAATTCTGTCTCATTTGATTTTGTTTCTCACTCGGCTCTGTGTTTGTAGGATGCGTCTGTGCTCGCTATGTTCCTCGGCTTCCTAACTGATGACAGTGCCCAAGGCAGCACCCATCACATTTCGCCCACGGGCACCCTATACCCTCCCCACACAGGTCCCCTGGCCTCAGCCCCTCAGTGCTTTCACCACAATGAGTTCTTATTCTTGTCAAGAGCTCTCACTGGGATAGTATCACTGCCTTTTGGTGTGCTTGCTTATTTTCATTTGTTGTTCACTTCCTGGAGTTCATACTTCACTCTCACTTCAGATTCTCCAGGGTCGATCCAGAGATCTGAGGGAGGGAGCCAGGAAGCCGGGCTAGTTCATCACTTTACCAGGAGCTGGCTTGCCAATTTTTCACAATCTAGATTATAATTTTTAAGTAGTTATTTATATATTGATACTTGACTTTTTTCCAAACTAGATGACTAAAAATGTCATTATAGCAAGAGCTTATGGAAAACGTTAGAAAAATTAAAAAAAATTCTGTTTATTAAGTACAGGGCACAAATGGAAGGGCATGATGCCTTTCAGCCTCCAGATGGCACTGTGATTGTAAGAACCATGTTTTTTCTGGACTTTTTGTCAGTTGCTTTTTTTTTTTTCCTTCTTTTTTTGAGACAGGGTCTCACTCTGTCATCCAGGCAGGAGTGCAGTGCCATGATCATAGCCCATTGCAGCCTTGAACTCATGGGCTCAAGCGATCCTTCTGCTTCTGCCTCCTGAGTAGCTGGGACTACAGGTGTGCACCACTACACCCAGCTAATTTTTTTAATTTACTTTTTTTTATAGAGACAAGGTCTCACTATGTTGTCCAGGCTGGTTTCAAACTCCTGGGCTCAAGTGGGCTCAGCTGCCCAAAGTGCTGGGATTGCAGGCCTGAGCCACCATGCTTGGCTAGTTCTTGATCTAGAACAGAAGGCAGCACACATTGCCTGTAAAATGTCAGTGGTGAATATATTAGGCTTTGTGGGCCAGATGATCTGTCACAACCACACGGCTCTGCTGGTGCAGCCTGAAAGCAACCATAGATAATACACAGGCAACTGGGCACGGCTGTGTTCAAATAAAACTTTATTTATAAAAACTGGTGATGTGCTGGATTGGGGTTGTAGTTTGCTGACTCCTAACTAGAATAGTGATTTTTTTTTTCTCACAATTTTATCATTGATCGACATATAGGCTACCAGAGTTCTCTTCATTGATACTGAACCAGTCTCTAGAGGTGGAAGGTGATGGTTGGGAGGTTGTAAGGGCTAAGGCCACTGGCGTGCCACCTTTCAGGGCAGAAATTGTGATATGGTTTGGCTGTGTCCCCACCCAGATCTCATCTTGAATGGTAGCTCCCATAATTCCCACAAGTTGAGAGAGGGACTCAGTGGGAGGTAATTGAATCATGGGGCAGGTCTTTCCCGGGCTGTTCTCATGAAAACAAATAAGTCTCATGAGATCTGATGGTTTTATAAAGGAGAGTTCCCTGCACACACTGTCTTGCCTGCCGCCATGTAAGACATGCCTTTGCTCTTCCTTCGTCTTCCACCATGATTGTGAGGCCTCCCCAGCCATGTGGAACTGAGTCCATTAAACTTCTTTCCTTTATAAATTACCCAGTCTTGGGTATGTCTTTACTAGCAGCATGAGAACAGACTAATGAGAACGAGTAGACTCTAAGCTAGGTAAGGGGAAGGGGAGACAGGCAGAGCATCCCCACCCCACCCCAACCCTCTGAAATCCAAGTAAGCAGGCAGACATACTTCCTTAGCTTTATTATATGTCTTCTCTCTTTCTCTCTCTTTTTCCCAGAGTAAACTTCATAGGAAATAAGTTTTCACCATAGTGTTCACATCCCTTCTCAGGGTGGAAGTCACCCACCATTTTAAAAACTAGAGCAAGAAGGGCTGGACTTGGTGGCTCATGCCTGTAATTCCAGCAGTTTGGGAGGCTGAGGCAGATGGAACACTTGAGCCCAGGAGTTCAAGACCAGCCTGGGCAACATAGTGAGACTCCCCATCTCTACAGAAATTTAAAAATGAGCTGGGCATGGTGGTGTACACCTTTGGTCCCAGCTACTCAAGAGGCTGAGGCAGGAGGATCACTTGATCCCTGAAGATCAAGGCTGCTGCAGTGAGCTGTGATCGCACTACTGCACTCCAGCCTGGGCCACAGAGTGAACCCTGTCTCTAAAAAAAAATAAAAACAAAACAAGAGTCCCTGGGCCCTTTGAATAAAAAGAGAGTAAAGAGGCTGGGCACAGTGGCTCACGCCCGTAATCCCAGCACTTTGGGAGGCTGAGGCAGGCAGATCACTTGTGCCCAGGAGTTTGAGGCCAGCGTGGGCAACATAGCAAAATCCCATCTCTCCAAAAAAAAAAAAAAAAGGAAAAGAAAAGAAAGTGAGTAAAGGCTTTTGGGTTATAAAGAGAAAGGGAGAAGGATGATCCAGACTAGAAAGAAGATTATTCCTTTCTTAGCTCAACCTTTTTGCTCCAAAAAAAAGAGGAGGAAGGGGCCAAACATAGATTATCCTGCACCAGAGGGCCAGCTCCTTAAATCTGAGTCTCATCCCAACCACCATCATTTGTAAAAACCAAGGGTGCATTCATTACCTGCAGTGCGTGGATCCCTGTGGTGCCATCATTATCATTTGAAGCTCCATCTCTGAAGCCTCTAGCTTTGTAAGGACCTACAGACCACTTCCCAAGTCATTGCAGGTTTATTTTTGTCGCATTTGAGCATAACCTCAGATTTGGCATACAATACGAATGTCACCTTGAACAGCTTCTCCTTGAATGGGGGCCTACTCTCCCCAGGTGCAGTGAGCACCGTCGTCTTTACATGAGTGGGCCTACACCACCCTGCTGAGTAAATCCATCTGTTCTGTTTCAGTAACTGTGGCCTCTACAAATGGGAACGGGACGGAATGCTAAAGGTATGCCATTTGCGTACTAATTTTTGACTCCTTTTAGTGACCCATGCTAATAATGTGGAACCATCTCCTATTAAAATATTTTCATTTTTCTAGGAAAAGACTGGTCCAAAGATAGGAGGAGAAACTCTGTTACCAAGAGGAGAAGAACATGCTAAATTTCTGAACAGCCTTAAATAACCCGAACTTCAGACATTTTCCCACAGACTTCCTGGCCTCCTGTGACTCTGGAAAGCAAAGGATTGGCTGTGTATTGTCCATTGATTCCTGATTGACGCCGTCAAAAACAAATGCTTGTTAAGCCCATAAGCTTTGCCTGCTTACTTTCTGCCATTGGGTTGGTTTGATACCACATTTAACATTGACATTTAAGTGGAAAACCAAGTTATCATTGTCTTTTCTAAGCTCAGTGTGGATGATTGCATTACTTCATTCACTGAAGTTTTTGCCCAAAAATTGGAAGGTAAACAGAGAGCTATGTTTCTGTATCTTTTGGTTATAGAGTGTTCACTTCTTTATCATAACAAAATTCTAGTGTTTATACGAACACCCAGAGGCAAAAGAATTTGGCTTAATTCTCACTCCAGGTAAGTAGCTTAACTTCTGGGCTTCAGTTTTCTCATCTGTAAAATCAGGAAGATTGGACTAAGTGATCCTGAAATGTATTTTTTAGCACTGGATTTCTACAAATAATAAAACTTTCCCATCTAGATAATGATGATCACATAGTCTTGATGTACGGACATTAAAAGCCAGATTTCTTCATTCAATTCTGTTATCTCTGTTTTACTCTTTGAAATTGATCAAGCCACTGAATCACTTTGCATTTCAGTTTATATATATAGAGAGAAAGAAGGTGTCTGCTCTTACATTATTGTGGAGCCCTGTGATAGAAATATGTAAAATCTCATATTATTTTTTTTTTAATTTTTTTATTTTTTATGACAGGGTCTCACTATGTCACCCTGGCTGGAGTGCAGTAGTGCGATCGCGGCACACTGCAGCCTTGGCTTCCCTGGGCTCAAGCAGTCCTCCCACCTCAGTCTCCCAAATAGCTAGGACTACAGGCGTGCGTGACCAAGCCCAGCTAATTTTTGCATTTTTTGTAGAGATGGGGTTTTGCCATGTTGCTCAGGCTGGTCTCAAACTCCTGAGCACTAGCAATCCACCCACCTCTGTTTCCAAAAAAAAAAAAAAAATGAAAGGTCAACCCCTATGCAAATTACCACAGCAAAGGTTTCATTCAGGAGATTCTTCCATCTGGGCAACCTGGTTTTCCAAATATCATTTGACCTAAGTGAATGTTGATACTAGCTAAAGATTGGGTAAATTGGTTGAATTATTGTATTGAAGCTTGAGCTGTAGCTAAAAGTAATTTAGGTTTCCCCTAAGATGTTATTATGTTAGGGACATAACACTTTTGGGAGGTTGTTGTGGGAGATGGTTGATTTAGGTTTTCAAAAGCTAGAAATAAAATTTACATGCCTTAGATTTCATAAAATTCTGCTCTAATTGGGTGGAAGGTGCTGTATCTAACTTGTGTTCCTCCTAAGGTTATGTCCTAATAACTATTCTTTTAGGAGTATACTTCTACTTTATAGAAGGTTGCTTTTCTTTTTAATTTTTTCTAACAAAGAAAAGAATAAAGTATTTATTAATAAGAACCAGAAAGCACTTGAAACTGATGTTTTTAATGGCTCATTTAGGGTAGATTTATTTATCTCATTAACTTAAAACAGCTATGTGTATGAAATAGGTCACAACAGAACTTGAACACCAGGTTGGTGTCTGAGCAATCCCTTTCTTATGGGAAAAACAATGTTCTTGTTTGAACAGAGGGTATCATTGCAGTCAGTATTCACGTGTATATTGTTATATAAGTTGTATAATATGCTTGTAAAGGCTGAGGGTGAGCTGTATCTGGATGCCTTTTTACAATTTGATTTTAACTTTTAAAATAAATTTAAAACATAATTGTCACTTCTTAGTTTTGCTCAATCTTGGGGGACTTTGCTTTGAGGTGCTCTGTGCATGTGCTTTCTTAGCATATTTGGGGATGAGACGCGGTCGGTAGGGGTGGGGTAGGGAAACTTGTTATTTTATTTTACTTATTTTTTTGAGACAGAGTCTTGCTCTGTCACCCAGGCTGGAGTGCAGTGGCGCAATCTTGGCTCACTGCAACCTCCACCTCGTGGGCTCAAGCAATCCTCCCACTTCAGCCTCCCGAGCAGCTGGGATTACAGGTGGGCGCCACCGTGCCTGGCTAATTTTTGTATTTTTAGTAGAGAAGGGGTTTCACCATGTTGCCCAGGCTGGTCTCAAACTCCTGGCCTCAAGTGATCCACCTGCCTCAGCCTCCCAAAGTGCTGGGATTACAGGCATGAGCCACTGTGCCCAGCCTAATCCTACCTTCCTTATCAACCTTTATGAAATGCTTTCATGCAAATCCAACATATGTGTTTTATTTTTCTTAACCTGTCATTGGTAGCGTAGGGATTAAATGTGTAATCACAGGCCACTGGAACAGGTAAGTACACAGTGATCTGAACTAGCAAACAAAAACAACCGTGTCCTTCAAGGAGAACCTGGTTGATCTAAAGTTAATAATCTTCACAATAGATTTTTTTTTTCTTTTTACTGTGCCTTTTTCTGTTTAGAGGAAATAAATGGCTTTCTAAAGAAAATCATCTTTGTCTCGAGTTTCGTTAAAATAAATTTTCCCTTTCCAAACATCAAAAGGAAATCTGAAGTATTTTAGATACCAACCATCCTGAATAGCAAATGAGGAACTTCTGAATAATGGGTGTGGAATTTTCCCCAAAGGGAACTTCAACATTCAAAGCTTCAGGCGGACTGATGGATAACAAACTTGACAGGAAGAGATCGCATGGATTGGGTTTCTGTGTAGAAACTGGTGATGACAGAAGTAAAGCTTGATGTTTGTAGCAGGTGAAATCATACCTAATGACATTTTAGAAAATCTGGAGCACAAATCTATGTGCGTAAGTATATCTCTAGTAGCAACCCATTAGGTGTAAAATAGACTTCTCTGATCCCATGGCTAGAGATTTGGAAATAATACAGCTTTCAAGAATGATGGGTGAAATCTGGCTGGGCGTGGTGGCTCATGCCTGTAATCCCAGCACTTTGGGAGGCTAAGGCGGGTGGATCACCTGAGGTCAGGAACTGGAGACCAGCCTGGCCAACGTGGTGAAACCCCGTCTCTACTAAACATGCAAAAATTAGCTGGGCATGGTAATGCACACCTGTAAGTTGGCTAAGTAATTTGGAAATAAGATCTGAAACAGAATTGGAACCAAATCTGTGGGAATGTTGCTTGACCAAGACTTCTATGGTAGGTTTTTGGTTTTTTCGGAGTCTCACTCTGTTGCCCAGGCTGGAGTGCAGTGGTGTGATCTCGGTTCACTGCAACCTCCGCCTCCCAGGTTCAAGCAATCCTCCTGCCTCATCCCCCCTAGTAGCTGGGATTACAGGCACGTGTATAGTGATATTTTTAAAATCAACTGTGTTAAAGTATAAATTTCTTACAGTAAAAGGCGCATATCTTAGGTGTGCAGTCAGCTGCATTTAGACAAATGTATACATCTGTGTAGCCACACCACAAGCAAGATACGAGACACTGCCATCATCCCAAAAGGCCTGTACCTCTTCCCAGCCCCAGCCCCAACCCATCAGGCATCTATTTTCTGTCACTATTGTGTAGATTTGTCTTTCCTAGAATTTCATATACACAGTCATACAGGACACACTTTGGCTTCTTTCACTGGGCATAATATTTGGCAATTCATGTTGCATGGATCCATGGTTTATTGTGTTGTATGAATATGCCCCAGAATTTATTCACCTGTTGGTGGGCATTTGGGTTGGATTTCCAGTTTGGGGGTGTCCTGAATAAAGCTGCTATAAATATTCAGGTATAAGTCTTTCTGTGGCTATGTTTTTGTTTCTCTTGGGTAAATACCTAGGAATGGAATTTCTAGGTTATGTGTTAAGTATATGTTAGCTTTGTAAGAAACTGCCAAACTATTTTCCAACATGGTTGTACCATTTTTCGCACTAACTAGTAATGTACGAGAGTTCCATTTACCCAACTTCCTCACCAATACCTTTTTCATTTTAGCCACGCTGATAGGGTCTGTGGGACAGACCCAGGCTGAGCGATGGATGAAAGGAGTACTCAGACACAGGTATGCAGTATAAGAGCAGCTAGGGGGCTGTGCGGCTCTAGGGGCCAAAGTGCAGCAGCAAGAAGCTGGAGCTGCTTGCTTTTATTCAGTGCAGGCATAATGCAGAAAGCCTGGAGCAAACACAGTCTGCAGGTAATTAGCATTTACTGTTCCCCTTTCAAGGAACGTTTGTGCGCCTGATCAAAGGTGGTCAACATAAGTAAACAAGCCTGTTTAAGATAAATTCCCCTACACTCCCTTGTACCTACTCCTTGCCCTCTGCCTTAGGGTTAGAGAACAGCTGCCTTCAGCTATTCTCCCCCAAAGCTTTGCAGAGCCTTCTGACCTTTCCGAAAGCCTGTTTCTTTCCCTGTAGTTTCTCCCACCACTCTGACTGATCTCCTACAGATAGATGTGTAGTAGAATCTCATTGTGATTTTAATTTGCATTTCCCTGATGACCAATAGTATTGAGTATCTTTTCACGTGCTATTGACCATTTGATGTCTTTTTTGGTAAACTGTAACATGTTTTTCTGTAATTTGGGAATAGGAATACCTCCTTTTTTTGGACTTTGCAGATACTGTGATTTTTAACCCTGCATCAAGCAAGCCTGTTGGCACCATTTTCCCAGCAACATGTGCTCACATTGTGTAGCTGTCACATACTGGTAATTTTCACAATGTTTCAAACTTTTTCATTATTATTATATCTGTTATGGTGATCTGTGATCAATGATCTTTGATGTTACTATTGTAATTGTTTTGGGGTGCCAGGAACTGTGCCCATATAAGTAGCAAACTGAATCGATAAGTGTGTGTGCTGACTGTTCCATCAACCAACCATTCCCCCATTTCTCTCCCCTCCTCCTATCTCCCTATTGCCTGAGACACAACAATATTGAAATTAGTCCAATTAATAACCCTACAATGGCCTCTAGGTGTTCAAGTGAGAGAGTCCTGCATCTCTCACTTTAAATCAAAATCTGAAAGTGATTAAGTGTGGTCAGGAAGGCACACTGAAAGCTGAGATAGGCTGAAAGCCACACCTCTTGTACCAGTTAGCCAAGTTGTGAATGCAAAGGAAAAGTTCTTGAAGGAAATTAAAAGTTATTCTAGTGAACTCACAAATGATCAGAAAGTCAAACAGTCTTATTGCTCATATGGAGAAAGTTTTGATGATTTGAGTGGAAAACAAGGCCCTAACTTTCTTCAATTCTGTGAAGGCTAAGAGAGGTGAGGAAGCTACAGAAGAAAAGTTGGACGCTAGCAGAGGTTGGTTCATGAGATTTGATGAAGATGCTGTCCCCATAATATAAAAGTGCAAGGTGAACAGTAAGTGTAATATAGAAGCTGCAGCAAATTATTCAGAAGATCTATCTAAGATTATTGATCATGGTGGCTACAGCAAACATTTATTTATTTATTTTGAGACTGAGTCTTGCTCTGTCACCCAGGCTAGAGTGCTGAGTGGTGCAATCTCAGCTGTGTGCAACCCCTGCCTCCCAGGCTCAAGTGATTCTCCTGCCTCAGCCTCCCAAGTGGCTGGGACTACAGGTGCACACCACCACGCCCGGCTAATCTTTTGTATTTTTAGTAGGGATGGGGTTTCACCATGTTGGCCAGGATGGTCTCAAACTCCTGACCTCAGGCGTTCCACCTGCCTCGGCCTCCCAAAATGCTGGGTGCCTGGCCCACTAAACGGATTTTTAATGTATACAAAACAGCCTTCTGTTGGAAGAAGATGCCATCTAGGACTTTGATAGCTAAAAAGAAGTCAATGCCTGTTTTCAAAGGACAGGCTGACTCTTCTGTTAGAGACTAAGACCACTGGTGACTATAAGTTGAAGTCAATTCTCATTTATTATTCCCCAAATCCTAGAACCCGTAAGAAGATTTACGCTAAATCTACTCTGTGCTCTATAAATGGAAAAGTAAAGCCTGGATTGGAGCACATCTATCTACAGCATGGTTTATGGAATACATTAAGCCCACTGTAGAGACCTCTTGCTCAGAAAAAGATTCCTTTCAAAATATGACTGCTTGTTGACAATACACCTGGTCATCCAAGAGCTCTGACAGAGATGTACAAAGAGATTAATGTTTTCATGCCTGCTAACACAACCTCCATTCTGCAACCCATGGATCGAGAAGTCATTTCGACTTTCAAGTCTTATTTTTATGACTTTTTTTATTTATTCTTTTATTTTTAGATGGAGTCTTGCTCTGTCACCCAGGCTGGAGTGCAGTGGCGCGATTTCAGCTCACTACAACCTCTGCCTCCCAGGTTCAAGTGATTCTCTTACCTCAGCCTCCCGAGTAGCTGGGATTACAGACACCCACTGACACTCCCAGCTAATTTTTGTGTTTTTAGTAGAGACTGTGTTTCACCGTGTTAGTCAGACTGGTCTGGAACTCCCGACCTCAGGTGATCCACCTGCCTCGGCCCCCAGAGTGTTGGGATTACAGGTGTGAGCCACCACACCCCGGCCACATCTGTAGTGACTTTCTAAAGGACATGCTACACTATTTTTTCAGTAATGATTTCAGGATACCATTCTAATTGTGTAAATCACTTTAGTTTAAAAGTTCTGTCTCTAGCAGTTGAGGGATTTGTCCATAAGCAAATTTGTTAAATATGAATATTCTAGTCTACAACTGATGGTTTTGATATACTCTGTGATCTTACAATGTACTAACACTTTTTTTTTTTTTGAGACGGAGTCTCGCTCTGTCGCCCAGGCCGGACTGCGGACTGCAGTGGCGCAATCTCGGCTCACTGCAAGCTCCGCTTCCCGGGTTCACGCCATTCTCCTGCCTCAGCCTCCCGAGTAGCTGGGACTACAGGCGCCCGCCACTGTGCCCGGCTAGTTTTTTGTATTTTTAGTAGAGACGGGGTTTCACCTTGTTAGCCAGGATGGTCTCGATCTCCTGACCTCATGATCCACCCGCCTCGGCCTCCCAAAGTGCTGGGATTACAGGCGTGAGCCACCGCGCCCGGCCTATACTAACACTTTTTAAAAAGTTTTGGCACTTTCCATATTATCGTGGCTTTTGTAATTAAAAATAGTTTGAATACACATGGTTTAAAATGTTTAAAGGACAGAGGAATATAACACAAAACATAAATATAGAGTATCTTGCCCCTCAGTGCCCTTCTGTTCCGTACTGAGTGCATGAAAAATTACAATTTAGAACATGACCTAATAAAATCGTAAGTTAGTACTCCAGACCTCGGTGCCTCGGAGGAATGGGATCATCATTTTTAATTCTGCAAGTCTTTAACTTGGGGGTTTACACACTAAATGATCCAGACTCACTAGTGTGTTATTTGAGACTCAAAAGTATTATTAGAGTGTCTAAACTAATGAGACATTATCTAGAAAAATGTTCACCTTTGTTTGCATGTGAAATCAGGGTTCTTTTCAAACACATCTTCAAACACTGCCATTCCTGTAGGAAGTTTTTTTTTTTTTTTTGGAAAGTTTTACAAAAACTGCTTAACTGTAAATTAACTATACAGATTTTTATTCGTGGTAGAAAGTTGGTTTAATAGGTAAACCAACTGGTATTAAACAAAGCATGGCATCCAACCAGGAGGACAGTTTTGTGTGAATACAGCGCAACCTTCCTGGTGTCGCTGGCTGAACAGCCTTCAGGGCTGACGCAGGATCTGAGCTAGCAGCAGGCTGAGCTTGCACTCCTGCCCAAAAACATATCACTGGTCAAAAATAAATTCTAAAGTTTTTTAAAAAAAATAAAAATGGTCAGCACAGTGTTCCTGGCGGAAAAATAAATAAATAATAAATAGAAAAAAGTTTATATACTTAGATGTATACAGATCACTCAAAGGAAACTCAAGACAATGGTGATAATGGTTTCTTTCAGGAGACCCAGGAGGGACTACCTTTCTGCGTATTCCTTTCTGTTCTTTAAAAATGTTAAACCATGGGGTGCTCGCTTCGGCAGCACATATACTAAAATTGGAACGATACAGAGAAGATTAGCATGGCCCCTGCGCAAGGATGACACGCAAATTCGTGAAGCGTTCCATATTTTTATGCCGCATATCTACAACTATCTGATCTTTGACAAACCTGAGAAAAACAAGCAATGGGGAAAGGATTCCCTATTTAATAAATGGTGCTGGGAAAACTGGCTAGCCATATGTAGAAAGCTGAAACTGGATCCCTTCCTTACACCTTATACAAAAATCAATTCAAGATGGATTAAAGATTTAAACGTTAGACCTAAAACCATAAAAACCCTAGAAGAAAACCTAGGCATTACCATTCAGGACATAGGCGTGGGCAAGGACTTCATGTCCAAAACACCAAAAGCAATGGCAACAAAAGCCAAAATTGACAAATGGGATCTAATTAAACTAAAGAGCTTCTGCACAGCAAAAGAAACTACCATCAGAGTGAACAGGCAACCTACAACATGGGAGAAAATTTTCACAACCTACTCATCTGACAAAGGGCTAATATCCAGAATCTACAATGAACTCAAACAAATTTACAAGAAAAAAACAAACAACCCCATCAAAAAGTGGGCGAAGGACATGAACAGACACTTCTCAAAAGAAGACATTTATGCAGCCAAAAAACACATGAAAAAATGCTCATCATCACTGGCCATCAGAGAAATGCAAATCAAAACCACTATGAGATATCATCTCACACCAGTTAGAATGGCAATCATTAAAAAGTCAGGAAACAACAGGTGCTGGAGAGGATGTGGAGAAATAGGAACACTTTTACACTGTTGGTGGGACTGTAAACTAGTTCAACCATTGTGGAAGTCAGTGTGGCGATTCCTCAGGGATCTAGAACTAGAAATACCATTTGACCCAGCCATCCCATTACTGGGTATATACCCAAATGACTATAAATCATGCTGCTATAAAGACACATGCACACGTATGTTTATTGCGGCATTATTCACAATAGCAAAGACTTGGAACCAACCCAAATGTCCAACAATGATAGACTGGATTAAGAAAATGTGGCACATATACACCATGGAATACTATGCAGCCATAAAAAATGATGAGTTCATGTCCTTTGTAGGGACATGGATGAAATTGGAAACCATCATTCTCAGTAAACTATCGCAAGAACAAAAAACCAAACACCGCATATTCTCACTCATAGGTGGGAATTGAACAATGAGATCACATGGACACAGGAAGGGGAATATCACACTCTGGGGACTGTGGTGGGGTCGGGGGAGGGGGGAGGGATAGCATTGGGAGATATACCTAATGCTAGATGACACATTAGTGGGTGCAGCGCACCAGCATGGCACATGTATACATATGTAACTAACCTGCACAATGTGCACATGTACCCTAAAACTTAAAGTATAATAATAATAATAAAAAAAGAAAAAAAAAAAAAAAAGAAAAGATAAAAAAAAAAAAAAAAATGTTAAACCATGGGTGTGTATTACCTGTTAGACTATTTTTTTTTTGAGATGGAGTCTCGTGTACCTGTTAGACTATTTTTAATTTTAAAAAGCCAAGATAATGTGGAAAGTGAATAAAACATTTTTAAACATTTATAATTTTAAACATTATAAGATCACAGAGTATATCAGAGTTCTCAATTGTAGACTAGAACATTTATATTTAACCAATTTGTTTTCAGAGAAATCCCTTCAAGGCTAGAGACAACTTTTTTTTAGAGACAGGGTCTTACTCTCTTGCCCAGTCTGGAGTGCAGTGGTGTCACATAGTTCACTATACCCTCAACCTCCTGGGCTCAAGCAATCCTCCCACCTCAGTCTCCCGAGTAGCTGGAACTACAGGCATGTGTCACCATGCCCAACTAATTTTTAATTTTTTTTGTAGAGATGGAATCTCACTATGTTGCCCAGGTCAGTCTCAAACTCCTGGGCTCAAGCGATGCTCCCACCTCGGCCTCTGAAAGTGCTGGGATTACAGGTGTGGCTCACCACGCCCAGCCTTTTAAATTATGAAAAACTTTTAAATTATGAAAAACTTCCCAAAGAATTAGAACATAATTGGCAGCAAATGAATTAGAAATAAAATAACCCAACTCAATGTAACTGATAAAAACCACATAAGTTAAAAAAATTTTTTTAATCATTCTGTGGCTCACAAAACTTACCACCTCCTTCTAAAAAATCTAAATAAACAAAGGCACACGATAATAAATTGTAAAATCTCTCCTGGAACACACAAAAACATTGTTTTTTCCTTGTACCTTTAACCTGCACTGGGAAAATGAAATTCCAACATATGCAAAATTGGTGAATAAAAATGAATGACAGATATATCCTTTGACAAATTTGTTTTCAACCACTTAGCTAGAACCCACTAAGAACTACGGGAAAGTAATGAAAGAACAGAAAAACCCAAGCAAAAGAAGCCCCAAAGGCCACACTTTTGACAAGGCCAGTCTCCAAAATACAAACCGCCCTGTTCTAATTTCATGTGAACTGTGGCTGTCCAGATCCCAGATCGCGTTACCTCTGTTATGCTTCTCCCGCCCAAGGAAATGACCGCAGCTGGCATTTGGTGAAGGAATTCTGGACCGAATTTGAAAACCCTGAAGTATAATGGAGCCCTTGTTAAGGATGGGGGTAGAACAAGGTAATGGAATTCTTATTTGGCTCCTTTCTGCCAGAGTTCTGTATCTAGAGCCACCGTGCTAAGCATGAGCAGGGAAGAGGCAAGAACAGGCTGTTTTGCTTTTTTAAAGCAAGCCATTCTTGGTTTTTGACATCTGAAAAGCCCTGCATTCCTTCCTGTGGACACACGACCGGCAGGTGGTGCATGGTGTGGCTGTGAGTCAAGTTATTGGTTGACATCCTCCTGATCACCACCATGCAGCAAAGGGGAACTGCCCTCTTGCCAGAAAGCACTGGGGTGTGTTATCCTGACCAATATGAACCAGATTGGGGCTTCTCTTGTTTCCCCATGGAAGTGACAGAGCAACACTTTGCCTTTTTTTCTGTTGCACACTGAGTATTTTTTTTAGTCATTAATTAAAAAAACAAAAACAAAAACCTTGTAAACAGAGGCTACCTACCTCAGGGCCTGTCTTGGCATCCAACCAGAAGGTCAGTTATGTGCAAATACAGTGCAACCTCCCTGGTATCGCTGGCTGAACAGCCTGCACCCCTGACTCAGGATCTGAGCTAGCAGTGGTTAAGCTTTCACTGCTGCCCAACTACCAACCCCAGTTGGCAGGCTCACCATCCACTCGGTAACTGATCTAGATAGACACATGTTGTTCTCAAATTTCATTTTTTCTTTTTCTTTTTTTTTTTTTTTTTTTAGATAGGGTCTCACTCTGTCTGACAGACGGGAATGTAGTGGCCTGATCATAGCTCACTGCACCCTCAAACTCCTGGCCTCAAACAATCCTCCTGCCTCAGCTTCCCAAAGCACTGGGATTACAGGTATGAGCCACCACACCTGGCCTTAAAGTTTTTCTGTTATACCAGTCTCTTCCACTGCTAGAACATTGCTTACTAAAAGCTGTGTGTCACTTTCAAGGAGGTTTGTGGAGAGCTGCGGGTTCCTAAACAGCCTTTCTGTTTAGCCAGGCCCGAAGGCATTGGGGTAGGTGGTAGAAGTACATGGATCACATAGCTAGGGTATGCACTAGGAACCTGGTTAAGTCTGACTTGGTTAAATTTAATGGAGCTAGAAGTGAGATTTGCCGTCTGAAAAGACACCATGAATAGTGTATATTTCAAGCACCCCTGTCCCCTGCCCAGGACTTTTCTGGTCTTAAGTTTACTTGCTTTCAGAAAGGATCAGCAAAGATGCCCAGCGATAGGAAGCACGCGACCTCTTCAAAGAGAAATTCGATTTAGCCAGTTTAAAATATGTAGAAGTCGGCTGGGTGCAGTGGCTCACCTGTAATCCAGCACTTTGGAAGGCCAAGGTGAGTGGATTGCTTGAGCTCAGGTGTTCAAGATCGGCCTGGACAACATGGCAAGACCCCGTCTCTCCTGAAAATACAAAAACTAGCTGTGCATGGTGGTACATGCCTGTAGTCCCAGATACTTGGGAGAATGAAGTGGGAGGATCACCTAAGCCTGGAAGGTCGGGGCTGCAGTGAGCCATGATCTTGCCACTGCACTGCAACCTGGGTGACAAAGTGAGACCCTGTCTCAAAAAAAAAAAAAAAAAAAAAAGTGTGTATATATATACATATATATATACACACACACGCACATATATATATATATGTTATGACCCAGCGTTTCATGTCCAGAAATCGATCACACTGATAGACGACTGGGTGAGTCAACTCTAGCATATTCGGTGGCATATGGGACATATTGAGAAGAGTGAGCAATGCTCCTCAAGTTCAAGCTTTCAAACACCCAAGTCAGCAAGAATCACATCATCGCTCAGGGAAGACAGCATGACACCCCTCGGTTGGAGATTTGAGAAGATAATACACATGGTTGATTCAGCGTTTTTATTTGTAAGCCATAAGCAAACATGTGATTCTTGACTGATTCTTTTGCTTGGGAACGAAGCCAGGGGAAGCCACTGTAGGTTTGGTACTAGGAGGCCCTGCAGGCAGTTGCTCACCTCAGAAGATGGTCTGCAAAGAGGTGAAAGTCAGGACACTTTCACACACTGGAAGGAAAGGCATGCGTCTTTTCAAGAGCTGCTGGCCACTGCAGACCCCAAGCTGAGACCCTCTGAAGGGCCGGTTTGCATGGGAAAGATTGCTGGAACACGGGGATGCCAATGGTGCTACAAGCTTTGTCTTCTTGGCCGGCTTCAGGATGGGATCAGGTGTGGTGGCGGTTGTAGAGATAGGATGGGTGCAGGCCGTCATAGTGCCACTGGCGCCACTGCTCCACAGCCTCCCGGCTCCTCTCTTCCTGCTCTGGGGAGGAAAGACAAAGCCACCTGTTAGGACAGGGGGACTCTGACCTGCCACTGAGCCCAGCAGCCATCAGCCGAACCCCTGCCCTGTGGTGACCTGCACTGAGAGTGTTTGTGAGCCCTGGTGAGAGAAGGCCAGGACTGGTGAGGATCCAGAGTATGTGAGCTGACAAGCCTTGTGTATAAGTCAGGCCCAGATGGGCGAAGGTCACAGGCAGGTGTAGACCAGGGCCGGGCATCTCAGGCTCTTCTGCCTGCCCAGCCAGTGTAGGAGGGCAGAGGCTTATGCAGCCCTGTTTCAAAGACTTAACAACCAAGACACAAGACGAAAAAGTAACAACACAGTAGCAGGAATGGACTACTGGAAGGACATGCAAGAAAAATAAGGGACTACAAACCATGCCTTGAAAACATGAAGGAAATCATTGTCGACTTGGAGTTTTTTTTCCTCCATACTGTTCTGAATTAATTTTCTTTTTTTTTCTTTCTTTCTTGTTTTGTTTTGTTTTGAGACGGGGTCTCAGTCTGTCACCCAGGCTGGAGTGCAGTGGCGTGATCATGACTCACCGCGGCTTCAACCTCCCAGGGCTCAGGCGATCCTCCCACTTCAGCCTCCTTTCACCATGCCTGGCTAATTTTTTAATTTTTTTATGGAGGTGGAATTTCAGTGTGTTGTCCAGGCTGGTCTCCAACTCCCAGTCTCAAGCAATCCTCCTGTCTCAGCCTCCCAAAGTGCTGTGATTGGCCAGGCGGGATGGCTCATGCCTATAATCCCAGCACTTTGGGAGGCTGAGGCTGGCAGATCACCCAAAGTCAGGAATTCTAGACTAACTTGGCCAACATGGTGAAACCCTGTCTCTACTAAAAAATACAAAAATTAGCCAGGCATGGTGACACACACCTGTAATCCCAGCTACTCAGGAGGCTGAAGTATGAGAATCACTTGAACCTGGGAGGTGGAGGATGCAGTGAGCTGAGATCACGCCACTGCACTCCAGCCTGGGCGACAGAGTGAGATCCTATCTCAAAAAAAAAAAAAACACAAAAGAAAGAAAAAAAGAAAATGCCCAAAAGAATTGAAAACAGGGACACACAAATGGATACTTCTACGTGAATGTTCGTAGCGCAACAGTTACAGCAGCCAAGAGGTGGAAACAACCCCAGTGTCCCTCAACAAAGAAATGGATAAACAAAATGTGGTGTGTATGTGTAAAATTTCGCCACAAAAAGGAATGAAGTTCTGGCACATTCTACAACATGGACAAACCTTAAAAATATTCTGCTGAGTGAAATAAGCCCAGACGCAAAAAGATGAATAATGTATGATTCCACTTAGATGACATGTCTAGAATGGGCAAGTTTTTGTTTTTGTTGTTTTGACTCTCGCTCTGTCACCCAGGCTGGGGTGCAGTGGCGTGATCTCGGCTCACTGTAACCTCCGCCTCCCAGGTTCAAGCGATTCTCCTGCCTCCACCTGGAGTAGCTGGGATTACAGGTGCATGCCACCACGCCCGCCTAATTTTTATATTTTTAGTAGAGATGGGGTTTCATCCTGATGGCCAGACTGGTCTTGAACTCCTGACCTCAAGTGATCGAACTGCCTCGGCCTTCCAAAGCACTAGTATTACAGGCGTGAGCCACTGCACCTAGCCTAGAATGGGCAAATTTACAGAGACAAAAAAAAAAAGAGGTTGCCAGAGGCTTCCAGGAGGGAGGAATGGCGAGTTACTGCTTTATGAATGCAGTTTCTGTATGAGGCTATGCAAGGGTTTGGAAATAGCAGTGACTGTTGCACAGTGAATGTAGTAAATGCTGCTGAATCGTATGCTTAAAAATAGTTTATGCTGGGCATGGTGGCTCACACCTGTAATCCCAGCACTTTGGGGGGCCAAGCTGGTAGGATCGCTTGAAGCCAGGAGTTTGAGACCAGCCTGAGCAGCGTTAGCAAGACATCGTCTCTACAAAAAATAAAAAAATATTAGCCAGGTGTGATAGCACTTGCCTATAGTCCCAACTACTTGGGAGGCTGAGTTGGGAGGATTGCTCGAGCCCAGGAGGTTGAGGCTGCAGTGAGCTATGATCATACCACTGCACTCCAACCTGGGTAACAGAGCAAAACCCATCTAAAAAAGAAAGAAAGGAAGCGGTGGGGAGGGAGGGAGGGAAAGAGAAAGTAAAGAAAGAGAAGAAAGAAAGAGAAAAAAAGAGAAAGAAAAAGAAAGGAAAAGGAAGAAAGAAAGAAGAGTTTAAATGGCAAGTTTTATGTTGTGTGTGTTTTATCACATTTTTAAGATGCATTTGTCAAAGATGTTGGAAGGATGGGAAATCCTAACAGAAGATGATGTCAAGAATTAAAGAACCAAGATGTCTTTCTTACCTCTGTTTTCTCAAATGTGGACCTCACCAAGAAGCCCATGAACCTGATTTTGGTACTAGCGAAAGTGAAACTGGCATCCTCTGTGGCGATGGCCAACAGGACCGCCTGGTGGCTTCAGGGTGTGAGGAATGGAGATGTTGCTTTGGTCCTTAGCACCTGTGAGAGCCGCGTGCTCAGGCCTAGTCTCACCTCGGCCCAGCTGGGTGCAGGGCCCAGTGACCAAGGCATGTTGAGGCACCGCAGCTGCCAGAAGTGTTTCCTTCTTATGTGGGCTCAGAGCTGGCCCTCCCCTTGGTGCTGAAAATCCCATTAGGTACTTGATAGCCCAGGGGCAGCCTGGAGCTCACAGAGCCAGGCCCAGGCCGGAGCTTTGTGTGTTCATCTTCAGCTCTTTCGGGCATTTCTCAAGCTCAGTAGACGAGCTACTCTTTGCCAACCCTGAGAGTGTGGTTTTGACGTAGAAGTTGATTCAGCATCCCTTTTTTTGTTGTTTTTGTTTTTGAGACAAGTTCTCATCCTGTTGCCCAAGCAGAAGTGCAGTGGCACAATCATAGCTCACTGCAGCCTCCTGGACTCAAGTGATTCTTCAGCCTCAGCCTCCCAAGTTGCTGGGACTACAGGCATGCACCACCATGCCGGGCTAATTTTTAATAGAGACAAGGTCTCGTTATGTTGCCAGGGCTAAATTCCTTGGCCTCCAAAAGTCCTGGGACTACAGGCTTGTAGTCCCAGTGGGCATTCCTTTTATGAAGTAAGTACTTTGGGGAGATGTCGAATATCCAACTGCTATCAGTAACCCTTAGAATAGGTGACTCGGGGCGGGGGCGGGGGCTCACGCCTGTAATCCCAGCACTGTGGGAGGCCGAGGTGGGCAGATCACCTGAAGTCAGGAGTTCAAGACCAGCCTGGCCAACATGGTGAAACCGTGTCTCTACTAAAAATACAAAAATTAGCAAGGCGTGGTGGTGGGTGCCTGTAATCCCAGCTACTCAGGAAGCTGAGGCAGGAGAATCACTTGAACCCCGGAGGAGGAGGTTTCATTGAGCCGAGATAGCGCCACTGCACTCCAGCCTGGTGACAGAGCGAGATTCCATCTCAAAAAAAAAAAAAAAAAGAATAGGTGACTTGGTTAGATAGGACAGTTAGCTGAAACCAGGGTCCTGACTGACAGGTATGTCAGGGGCCTCAGGGGAGGGCTTGGAAGTCAGACGCCTTGAGCACCGCCCCAGGGATGGTTTCAGGCAAGCAGAACCCCGTGCAACATTGTGAGCCACAGGCAACGGAGAGGAAAGAAGATTGAAATGATTTCCACCTTTTCCAAAACTCATCCTCCGGAGGCCAGGCCTGCTTCACCTTGTGACCCCTGCCTTGATGGAGCTCTGGGGAGACCCCCTGAGGGCTACTCTGCTTTATCTTTCTCACTCACTCCATCCGGGGGCCAATTCCTGGATCAAAGAAGCTCTCCAAGACCTCTATGCATTTGCTCATCCTTGATTTACAAGAACAGGAGCTTTGCTGGCAAATAAGCCTTGGGGTTCTAATGCTAGGGCTATCTACTAGCCTCGTCTCCTTGAGTATACATGTATCCTTTCTAAGCCTCAGTTTTTTATTTTTGTTGTGGATTTTTTTTTTTTTTTGAGACAGGGTCTTGCTCTGTTGCCCAGGCTGGAGTGCAGTGGCATGATCATAGTCACTCTAGCCTTGAACTCCCCAGGATCAAGTGATCCTCTGTTAACCACCCAAGTAGCTGGGACTACAGGCACATGCCACCAGCCAAGTTAATTTTCTCATTTTCTATGTTGCTCAGGCTGGTCTCGAACTCCTGGGCTGAAGCCATCCCCCTGCCTTAGCCTCCAGTGTAGCTGGGACTACAGGCACATGCCACGATGCCCAGCTTATGTTTTTTAATTGAAAAATTTTTTTTCTTTTGTAGAGACAGGGCCTCGCTTAGTTGCCCAAGCTGGTCTTGAACTCCTGGCTTCAAGCAATGCTCCCACTTTGGCCTCCCAAAGTGCTGGGATTACACGTGTAAGCCATGGTGCCCAGCCTGAGCCTCTATTTTTGAAACATGAGCTGGAAATTACAAGACCTGTCTCAGAGGCAGTTCGTGAGGATTAGGTGGCCACTTACAGTGCCTGGCAGAGCAAGGGCTCAAGGACAACAGCTTCTGGAACTGCATTCCCCAAAGGCCTGTGTTTTCTCCATCTGTGTGGGTGAGACCTAGGGTCTCCTGTCTTCCTATCCTGTAAGAGGACCTGCAGGCGCCCAACCCTGCATCCTGAATTCATCAAGAAAGGGAAAACAGTGAATGTTTTTTCATCTACATGCTAGAGCTTTGGGCCTAAAACATTTAAAACTGCTCAAAATAAAATGCTATTTTAATAGTATGAGTCAAAATCACACTGAAGGAATTTTGAAGGCCACATTCTCAACTTTTAAGTGCTTCTCCCCAAGCTGCCCACCAAGATAAACACATCTCTAGCAGAAGTGTGTGCTTCCAAGCTGTGATGGCCTGAAGTTTTCCCAGTATGTTCCTAAGAAAGTTTGATTTGCCAGGATCCAAGCCCAGCACCTGTTTGCAGGCCTCAGCCAGGTGCACCTGCAGGGCAATGGGCATAGCCTGCAGCACCTGACCCAGGGGTGGTTTCCTTTTCACTAGGAGATGCCTTCCGAGGGTGCTGCCTCCCCAGTCCATCAGAGCAAACGGCCAGGAGAAATGAAAGAGCTGACTCTCTCCCACAAAGGCGACCTAAACTGGGGCCTCACGTCCAAGTTCACGTGCACCCAGGAGGTACCAGGTGATTTTCCTCAGGAGCATTACAATCTTGAAATTTGGAGAAAGACCAAATAAATAAACAGGGCTAGGTGCGATGGCCCACGCCTATAATCCCAGCACTTTGGGAGACTGACATGGGCAGATTACTTGAGGTCAGGAGTTCGTGACCAGCCTGGCCAACATAGTAAATCCCCATCTCTACCCAAAATACAAAAATTAGCTGGGCATAGCGGTGCACACCTGTAATCCCAGCTACTTGGGAGGCTGAGACAGGAGAATCACTTGAACTCGGAGCGGGAGGTTGCGGTGAGCTGAGATCATGCCACTGCACTCCAGCCTGGGTGACAGAATGAGACTGTCTCAAAAAAAAAAAAAAAAAAGGAAAGGAAATACACACACACACACACACACACACACACACACACACATTCTCTGGTATGCTGGTGTGATCCCCATTAAACGGTCCTAAGGATGTTTGCTGTGGGTGACCCTTGAGGGTACTTCACAGCAAAATCAAATCCCACTCCGTGGAAGGCAGTGGCTCAAAGACAGAGCATCCTCTACCCGTGTCCCCAGCCACACCATCCTCCACTGAGCCCTGGCACAGCCAGCACTTTCTAAGAGCAGACAGGAACCCTGTCTGCCAAGGGGTTGAGGGGTGCGGAATGCCTGGCCAGAGACACTGGACTCTCTGGTCTAGGCCTTTTCTTTTCTTTTTTTTTTCTGAGACAGAGTCTTGCTCTGTTGCCCAGGCTGGAGTGCGGTGGTGCAATCTTGGCTCACTGCAAGCTCCACCTCCAAGTTTCAAGCAATTCACCTGCCTCAGCCTCCCAAGTAGCTGAGACTACAGGTGTGCACCATCACGCCTGGCTAATTTTTAATTATTTTTAGTAGAGACAGGGTTTCGCCACATTCGCTAGGCTAGTCTCAAACTCCTGACCTCAAGTGATCCGCCCACCTCAGCCCCTCAAAACTCCTGGCCTCCCTGGGCCTTTCCTACTCTCTATTTTTTGCTAGTAAGGAAAAGACCAAGGCTTAGAGAAGAGGATACAAATAGGAGAAGCATAAAGCCACAAGAAAACCATATAAAAATTTTCAGGTGATCTGATGCTTTTGGATGAGTTGGAGCCTGAAGATAGGCTGTAGATGTTGATGCTGCAGGTGGGGTGAGAGGGTAGAAGGCAAGCTGTTTTCTGAGTTCAGCTTTCCTGGTTTGCTTCTGCCAGTCAGTAAAGATGCTGAGTACACTGAATAGGTCAATGAAGGCCTTGATTTTCCAGGATGGAGTAGGACCTGGAGCCAGGACATTGACGTGAATATAAGGCACCTGCGAGTGAGTGTGGACTCTGTCCAATATGATCCTGCCAGAGCTAAGCCTAAGTGTTGGTGCTTAGACGGAGAACACAGACCAGTGCGGTGATGCCCAAATAGGAGGAGGGAGGGAAAGGAGTTTAATATCCACACAGTCAGCAAACAGTTGCCCCATCCCCACAGCCCCAAGCCAATGGGAATAAGGGTATTCTGTCCCCTTCCACACCTTCTCAAGTTCTGTGTAGCCATTTTTCTCCCTTCTTTTTATTTTATTTTATTTTATTTTTTTGATATGGAGTTTCACTCTTGTTGCCCAGGCTGGAGTGAAGTGGCACAATCTCCACTCACTGCAACTTCTGCCTCCCAAGTTCAAGCGATTCTCCAGCCTCAGCCTCCTGAGTAGCTGGGGTTACAGGTGCCCGCCACCACACCCAGCTAATTTTTGTATTTTTAGTAGAGATGGGGTTTCGCCATGTTGGCCAGGTTGGTCTCAAACTCCTGACCTCAGGTGATCTACCCTCCTCAGCCTCCCAAAGTGCTGGGATTACAGGCATGAGCGACTGCGCCCGGCCCTCCCTTCTTTTCAAGGCTCTCCTGGATATGAATTGAAAGTAGACCTTCCCTTTCCTCCCTCCTCCAATTAAAAGTTCAGTACCAGCCTGGCCGACATGGCAAAGCCCTGTCTTTACTAAATATACAAAAATTAGCTAGGGGCATCTGTAATCCCAGCTACTCTGGAGGTTGAGGCAGGAGAATCGCTTGAACTTGGGAGGTGGAGGTTGCAGTGAGCCAAGATCACACCACTGCATTCCAGCCTGGGCAACAGAGCAAGACTTCGTCTCAAAAAAAGAAAAAAAAAAAAAGTTGGGTAGAAGAAGAGAAAGCAAACCATGTGATTTCTCCCCAACGCTCCACCTCCCTGAAGACACTGGCTGAAGAGCTCTTACCATCGTTTTGTTCCTCCACGAAGTTCTCAAATTCATTCCTTTGTTCCTCGTAATATTCTCTCCGCAGCTCATCAACCCGAAGCTTCTGCCTGTTTTCCACTGTGAAAGGAAAAGAAGCAAGAGTTGCCCCTCAAGAATGAGGACACTTAGGGGCACACACTTAGGGGAGCACAGTTCATCTGAGAAGTCACCTGGTTGGGGGATGAGTGGTTTGTGGGGGATTGTGATTGGAGACTTCCCTGAAATGATTTACTCCTGACACAGACTTTAAAACTTGAAGGTGATTATCTGATCCAGCTGCCTCATTTGCAAATGAGAAGATAGAGGCCCCAGAGAGTAAAGTGATTTAGCTCTGATTATAAAGTTGGTGGCATATCCAAGTATACCAGGCCACTTGGAAACCAGAAATCCCATAATCAGAAACAAATTCCCTAAAGGAATAATACAACTTAATCTCACATCCATTCAACATTTTCGAGCTCTTATCACGGCCAGGATGTAGGCTAAGCACTGGAATTAAAAAGCCGAATAAGAAAGATTCCGTCCTTCCAGCCAGATACGGTGGCTCACGCCTGTGAGCTTAGCTACTAGGGAGTCTGAAGCAGGAGGGTTGCTTGAGGCCAGGAGTTCAAGGCTGCAGTAAGTTATGATTGTACTGCTGCACTCCACCTTAGGCAACAGAGCGAGACCCTGTCTCAAAAACAAAATAAAATAAAATCCTTCCCTCTGCTTAAGAGACCTATAATTCAATAAGGAGAAAGACATAAGACAAGTTTTACCAAGCATTACAGCTGTTGGAATAAAAATTCCCGGTTGTCTGGAGGAAACGATGTAAAGCTCTCTACTTTCAAGGTATTTCCCCCAACACGAGCTTCAACTGGAGAAACCCATGAAGCCAGGGAGGCCACGTCTAGGGCAGGAAGAACCAGTCCCTCAGCACGCCTCACGATCTCACAGTGGGATTCCCCTCACACCAAATGGGGGAGACGGAGGTACTGTTTTTTTGCCCCATCAACTCTGATGTGCAAGAGGAGGCTGGGGGGTGCTGAAGGAAGCAGAGAAGCTGGGGAAAGTCATGGTTCCCTACCCCCAACCCACATTACAGAGGTGCTGGGAGAAACAAGGAAAAGTCTTTGCAAAATGATAATATTGGAAACCATCTCAGGCCGGGCGTGGCGGCTCACGCCTGTAATCCCAGCACTTTGGGAGGCCGAGGCGGGCGGATCACTTGAGGTCAGGAGTTCAAGCCCAGCCTGGCCAACATGGCAAAACCCCATCTCTACTAAAAATACAACAATTAGCCAGGCGTGGTGGCAGGTGCCTATAATTCCAGCTACTTGGGAGGGTGAGGCAGGAGAATTGCTTGAACCGGGGAGGTGGAGGTTGAGATCACGCCACTGCACTCCAGCCTGGGCAACAGAGCGAGACTCTGTCTTAAAATAAATAAATAAATAAACAAACAAACCATCTCAAATCCTTGGAAGTAAGACGCTTACCTTAATTAATGAATTATATAAATACTAGTTATTTCTGTTACTTTTCTATTACTTAACTCAGATTAAAAATCAAGTTATCTGTGAACTGGGCTTAGTGCAGATTCCAGACGTCTGGAATGTTTCTTCCCAAACGTCTGCCGTGACCTACTTAGTTGCAGGAAACTTGAGTCTGGCAGAAGGGGTTGGTTATCCCATCCATACCCATGCCCCACCTCTCACTCGGCATTCACACATTTCTCAGAGGGGATTCAGGCTCAGAGATGTGCATGACCTAACAGAGGTCACACAGCAGATTGGGGCAGAGCTAGGGTACCAGGTTCCCACACGCCACTGCTGGCTCAGCTTCCCTCTTCCCACCCACTGTGGGTCCTGATGTTGCTCCAAGCGCCAGAAAGCCGTTGTGGGAGGTGCGGGGGCTTAGGGTTTAGGAAGCAGGTACTTAGTAAGTCACTGCCTATTCCTAAAGAAGCGTCCTCTGTCCCCTGTGTACTCAGGACAGCAAACAATCTTCCCAAGTGGTCTTTTCAGAGGTGTCACAAATTAGAGCTTTGACGTAATGAATAAGAACAATTTAATCCTCAGGACAAGATAGTAATTTTATACTATGTGTCATTCTGTGCATTGTATACGTTTCTTCTCAAGAACATGCATTCATCACACTCTCTTTTCACCCTAAAGTAACTTCACCTTTATCCCAGAGGCTTAGAGATGTCAGATGCCTGTCTCCTGGTTCCAAATTCAAGTTGGCTGAAGTGTCTGTCACCTGCCCTTTATCCAACCTGAGGCATCGCTGGGCACTGCCCTCCTGCTATCCACAGGAGTTGACTGGGTGACAGCAGATGCATTCATGCACAATCCTGGGTGTTCACCAGGCTGTCCTGCACCTCCCATGACTAATTGACACACTGAGCTTCTGTCCGAGGTAAGGCACTTCAGGCTAAATGGTGTAGCTCATTGTTTGGAGTCAGCTTAAGAGGACAGAAGAGGCCATGCGCGGTGGCTCATGCCTGTAATCTCAGCACTCTAAGAGGCCGAGGCAGGGGGGTCACCTGAGTTCAGGAGTTCGAAACCAGCCTGGCCATCATGGCAAAATTCTGTCTCTACAAAAATACAAAAATTAGCAGGCGTGGTGGCAGGCATCTGTAATTCCAGCTACTTGGGAGGCTGAAGCAGGAGTATTACCTGAACCTGGGAGGTGGAGGTTGCAATGAGCCAAGATCCTGCCACTGCACTCCAGCCTGGGCGACAGAGTGAGACTCCATCTCAAAAAAAAAAAAAAAAAAAAAAAAGAGGACAGAAGCTATTTGCCTGGCCTAAAATCATGCCTGTTTCCCCTGGAAGTCTGCCAGAAGATTGCTTCTCCCATTTTAATCAAAAACAGTCCAGCCCCCCTCCCAACCTTTCAGTGCTTCTTGACATTGGCCAACTTTTAAATCTCCAGTTGTATGAGGCCTGGAGGTTTTCCTAGCACGGTTATACTTATTCAATTTTTTTTAAAAAAAGAAATTTCATCTCCAAGCATTTCTATCTCTGTTCTTCCCATCATTTGAAAACAGTCCTGTTATTTTTACCAAGCAAGTCACCTTGCTGAGTGCCCTGAAGAATACAAAGAGTTCATTCACCCACAGGCACGAGGAGGAAAGACTCAAGCCAGAGACTCGGGAGATACTGTCTGAGCTCAGCATCTTGGAAGAAGCAGGTTCAGGAGTAGAAACTCAAATGCCCTCAGGGGTTGGCAGGTGAAGGGCATGAGGACCCTGAAGCCGGGGCTCCACAGGCCCTACAGCAGGCTGTGCAACAGACAGGCTCACCCCAATGTGTTGAAAATGAAAACTTAAAAAAAAAAAAACCTCTGCTGGCTGAACACAGCTCTTTCAGAGGCTTATAAATAAGGAAATTAGGACCAGAGGGAGGAAGTAGCCAAGGCCACTTAGCAGCACAGCTGTCCCCAGACCCACATTTCTCAGCACCCAGTGTCCTGTGCCTTCCCCATGTGCGATGCTGTTGCTCTTATACAGAAGGTGTGCTGGACCAGTACCCGCAAAGCACACACTGATGTGTGGGTCGCCTCCAGACCAGAATATAGATTTCCCTCCCTACACCTTTCTGAAATCCAATGCATCTTATCCCTGTTAGGTGTGTTTAATGTAGCATCATGGCCAAGAAGCAGGACAAGAGGACCTGTCTCCAAGTCATCTTTGCAGAGGTGGGGCCTCCTAACCCTGACAAAGTATTCAATCCAATATACGACCTACAGTCAGGAAATAGGGTGTAATTTCTCATTCAGAGCTGCAGTCCCTTTGATACCCTGGGGTGAGCCCTTCGTGCCCAGCTGCATCCTGCTGCCCGGCTGACTGTGGGAGAGGAGGAGCCGGGGGGTGTGAGCAGAGGTGGTGATGGACGCGGGATGGGGTCCCTCCAGCATCCTTACCATTGACCTCATCTCTGGACTTGGGGGACCGCTTGCCGCGCCTCTTGAGGAAATTCGAGGCATCTGATTCCTGCATGAAAATCTTCTGTTTTGCATCTGAAACCCGGGAGAGGCCTGTCACCAGCAGTGTGGGGGTGCTGGGGCTGCTGCTTCGCTGGCTGCACCTGCCCTGCCCCGTGGGTGGCCCCTGCACTCACCTTCACTCGCCTCTTCTCCCGCCATCTGCATGGTGCCCACAGATACACTGGTTCCCTCTCTCAGCACTGCAGGACAAGGGCACAGAGTGAGGCTGCAGCATCAGAGGGGAGCCCAGACCCTGAGCTGAGTCCCCATCTCTCTTTCCAGGCTAAGCGTCCTGCCAGGGCCTGGCAGGGGGCCCGTGGTTTCTCACGTACCAGCTGCAGAGCCAATCTCCCCAGGAACCCACCAAGCAAGCTGGCTTGGGTTTTTTTTCTATTTTGTTTCTTTCTTTACTGTTTTTTATTATTATTATTATTTTTCTGTATTGCATTGTGTCCTACATGCACACGACACACACATACACACATGTTAACAATAAGCATACTCCTTTCTACCTGCATCACCTGAGCAGCCTTACCTGTGCATGGTAAGTCTCCCTTACCATGTAACTAACACCCTCCACCTTGACCCTCCTGTACTCACTAGACAGGAGCACCACGGCGGAGAAGCAAGACAGCAGGACGGCCTGTCTCCAAGTCATCTTTGCAGAGGTAGGGGCTCCGTCCAGGACCCACAAGGCAGACCAGGCGTCCTGCACCCTTTGGGTCCCCACTTCTGAGGCAGGCAGCCCAGGCGAGAGGAAGGAAGGCGGGGGAGGGAAGAGAGAGGCAGGAGGCTGGGATACCACTGGGGGAGAGGAGGAGGGGGCTGGGCTGCCCTTTCCATTGGCTGCTCCTAGATGGAGCAACGGAGATGTTTTTGGCACCTGGCAAATGTCTCCAGAAGCAGAGCTTGTAGTTAGGGCCCTGGGTGGGACGGTCTTGGAGTGGCCTTTCCAATGTCCGTGTCTGGGGATCTGCTGCTGGGAAGGCTCATCCTAACAGTCAGGGTTCCAGTGACCAAGGCCTGTGTCAAGGAGGTCCTGGCACCTGCTCCAGGGACGTTAGGGCCCCGGTCCTCAGGGTTGAAGCATGGGTGGGGGCAAGGAGGAAGAGAGGATCAATGGGGGAGTTTTGATCTAAATGTCAGTCAAGAAGGGCTCATAATGACTGGAATACCCATCAGGGTGACACACAGACGTGTGGGTCATGCTGACAGCGACCAGAGAACACCTTACCTGATGCACTGCTTCCAGCTGATGCTCACTGCCAAGCCAAACACAAACTCCTGGGGCCGCGGGTCCCAGAGCCCTTTAAAGTCAATTGCCTTCCCGCGGTGGCTCATGCCTGGAACCCCTGCACTTTGGGAGGCCGAGGCAGGCAGATCACCTGAGGTTAGGAGTTCGAGACCAGCCTGGCCAACACGGTGAAACCCTGTCTCTATTAAAAATAAAAATAAACAAATTAGCCGGGCATGGTGGCGGGCGTCTGTAATCCCAGCTACTCAGGAGGCTGAGGCAGGAGAATCACTTGAACCCGGGAGGCAGAGGTTGCAGTGAGCCGAGACCGCGCCACTATACTCCAGCTGGGGTGACAGAGCAAGACTCAGTCCCAAAAAAAAAATACATATAAAATAAAATAAAATAAAAATTTAAAAGTTAAAAACAGCGGCCGGGCACGGTGGCTCACGCTTGTAATCCCAGCACTTTGGGAGGCAGAGGTGGGCGGATCATGAGGTCAGGAGATCGAGACCACGGTGAAATCTCGTCTCTACTAAAAATACAAAAAAAATTAGCCGGGCGTGGTGGCGGGCACCTGTAGTCCCAGCTACTCAGAGAGGCTGAGGCAGGAGAATGGCGTGAACCCGGGAGGCAGATCTTGCAGTGAGCCGAGATTGCACCACTGCACTACAGCCTGGGTAACAGAGCGAGACTCCATCTCAAAAAAAAAAAAAAAAAAAAAATTTAAAAACAGCAAGGCCAAATTCAATCACCTTCCACAGCGGAGGGGGAGAAGGGCAGGTATCTGAAAAGCTCCACAGCTAATCCTGCATCTCTAGGAAGACACACATCATACTCCATGTAGGGGAGGAAATGGGTTCCCAGAAATGGGACCACTAATGAAATCAGCACCAACATGGCCATTAGAGCTCAGTCCCCTTGGAGATGTGTTCCTAATGTTGCCTTTGTTAGGAACCATCAACTCTTTGCTGTCAGCCTTCTGGCATCGTTTAATGTTTGTCTAATGGGAACCATCACTAGACCTAGAACCCAGCCCATACCTACCTGAAGCTCCCCTCTTACAAGACTTTTATGTTAGCTAGGCAAAGTGGCTCAAGCCTGAAATCCCAGCCCTTTGGGAGGCCGAGGCAGGAGGCTCACTTGAGGCCAGGGGTTGGAGATAAGCCTGGGCAACATAGCGAGACCCCCATGTCTATTTAAAAAAAGAAAGACTTTCAGTCGGGCGCAGTGGCTCATGCCTGTAATCTCAGCACTTTGGGAGGCTGAGGTAGGTGGATCAGTTGAGGCCAGGAGTTCTAGACCAGCTTGGCCAATATGGCAAAACCCCATCTCTACTAAAAATACAAAAATTACCCAGGCGTGGTGGCATGAACCTGTAATCCCAGTTACTCAAGAGGCTGAGGCAGGAGAATCGCTTGGACCCAGGAGGCAGAGGTTGCAGTGAGCCGAGATTGCGCAACTGCACTCCGGCCTGGGTGACAGAGCGAGACTTTGTCTCAAAAAAATAAAAAAAGGCCGGGTGCAGTGGCTCATGCCTGTAATCCCAGCAGTTTGGGAGGCCAAAGTAGGTGGATCACCTGAGGTCAGGAGTTTAAGACCAGCCTGGCCAACATGGTGAAACCTTGTCTCTACTGAAAATACAACAATTAGCTGGGCGTGGTGGTGGGCACCAGTAATCCCAGCTATTCAGGAGGCTGAAACATGAGAATTGCTTGAACCCGGGAGGTGGAGGTTGCGGTGAGCTGAGATCGCACCATTGCACTCCAGCCTGGTCAACAAGAGCGAAACTCCATCTAAAAAAAAAAAAAAGAAAGAAAAGAAAAGAAAGACTTTCATGTTTACATCCCTCATGGACTTTACCGTCGTCCAGGAAAAGAATGTTAAGGCAGAAAAATAACTGAGACAGAGTAAACAAAATAAAGGGTTGGTTTCCAGTGGAAGAAAATGGGGTTGATGGCTATGCTGGCTGGCCCTACGTGGGCTCCCCTGGGATACTGGCTGGCCTGCACTGAACATGGGAGCAAGGGCTCTACATGGCTGAACGAATGCATGAGGACAGAGCCACAGGGCTCATCTATCAAATGAACTGGATGTCACTGGGAGAGGGGAGGGACAGACACAGGGCTGAGCGATTTTGATGGGACGTCCAGTGAGAAAGCGGACATGTGACAAACCCGTGACATCCTCCATACCCTAAGTCCACTTGTGCCTTTTTAATTCTATTTGTTTCAGCCACAAACTTGTATTGAACACCTGCTGCCATGCACCAGGCACCTGTGCCCGTCACTGGCGAGTCAGCCTTGGGTAAATCATTTTTAAAATTTTTTCAGCTGGGCGTGGTGGCGCATGCCTATAATCTCAGCACTTTGGGAGGCCGAGGCAGGCAGATCACCTGAGCTCAGGAGTTTGAGACCACCCTGGGCGACATGGTGAAACCCCATCTCTACTAAAATACAAAAAATTAGCTGGGCGTGGTAGTGTATGCCTGTAGTCCCAGCTACTTGGGAGGCTGAGGCAGGAGAATTGCTTGGGCCCCGGAGGCAGAAGTTGCAGTGAACCGAGATCATGCCACTGCACTGCAGCTTGGGCTACAGAGTGAGACTCCATCTAAAAAAAAAAAAAAAAAAAAAATTCGTAGAGACAGGGTTTCACCATGTTGTCCAGGGTAATCTGATGTCTGACCTCAAGCAATCCCCCTCCTTGGCCTCCCGAAGTGCTGGGATTACAGGCGGGAGCCACCGCGCCCAGCCTACCTGAGATTCCTAGTGGCTACACTGATCTGCTCCAAGCAGCGTTCTGACCATAGCTGGTTTCCGCAACCTGTCAGTGCCTTATAACTTTCTCTCCGTCTAGACCATGGGCATTCATTTTCCATATGTTTCCACCTTCAGCTGCCCCTGCCCTCGGGCTGCCCACCAGGGCTGGATGTGCTGCAGAAGTGGCCTCCTCGTGACATTAGACCCCAAAGAACAACATGCCACCTCACCTCATGGCAAAGGCATAATTCTAGTGGCTGTGGGAAGAAGAGAAGAGTGCTGGATTTGATGTCAGAAGACCTGATTTAAACCCCACAAGTGGCCAGGAGCAGTGGCTCATGCCTGTAATCCCAGCACTTTGGGAGGCCGAGGCAGGTGGATCACGAGGTCAGGAGATCGAGACCATCCTGGCCAACATGGTGAAACCCTGTCTCTACTAAAACAAACAAACAAACAAACAAACAAACAAAAATTAGCTTGCGTGGTGGCGTGTGCCTGTAATCCTAGCTACCTGAGAGGCTGAGGCAGGAGAATCACTTGAACCCGAGAGGCAGAGGTTGCAGTGAGCCAAGATCATGCCACTGCACTCCAGCCTGGGCGACAGAGCGAGACTCCGTCTCAAAAACAAACAAGCAAAAAAACACACAAGTACTGTACACTGAATCTGTCCAAAGACATATCCTTTGAGATTTCTCTTTTTTCTGTTTTCTCCATCTCTGTGAATGAGCTCACTGTTCATCCCCAGCTACTCAAACTAGAAGCTCCGGAGTCATCGGAAATGCACAGCCTCGCCCCTCACAGCCCAGCTCCTTAGTCCTCAGACCCTGGTGACTCTATTGCTTACATCTTTTGAAATGCCCTCTGCTCTTGCCGGTCCCCTTGCTCCTGCCTTTCTCAGACACCATTGCTCTCCCGGATGATGGTGACAGCCTTGTCTAAGCTGAGGCTTAGACCCTCCATGTCGCTGGGAGGATGGTCTTCCTGAACAACTTTCAGGTCAGTTCCCTGCTTAAAATCACTCCACGGTTCATTATTGTGTCGCGTTAGCTAACATGTATGCAATGCTCAGGACGTGCCAGGTGACATTCAAGGACTTTGGGTGCATTGACTCTAATCCTCACTTCCATCCTTGTGACAGAGGAGGGGATTAAGGTACAGACAGGTAGAGCGACTTGCTCAAGGCCATGCAGCTGGGCAAGTCCAGGGCTGAGACTGAACCCGGGGTAGCCTGGCCCCGGGTCTGTGTCATAACTGTCATACTGCACCGTCTCACAGAGATGAAGACCAGCTCCCTCCTACCTCCTCCCCTCCACGGGCTCCTGTGCGCTGGAATACAGAGCTGCCTGCAGTTCTTCAAGAAGGCCTCACTTCTCTGGGCCTTTTGACAATGTTTTCCATTCCAGGAGGGTTTTGGGAACCCTTGTCCTTCAAGTTAATCTCAGCCATCACCTCCTCTTTGAAGTCTGCCTGAATACCATGCCCTTGACCCATATAGATGAGTATCATGAAGCTGTTTTTACATTTTGTAATGTATGTATATGTATAAATGTATATTTTTGTGACTTTTTGAGATACAATCAACATACCATGCAATTCACCCATTTAAAGTGTGTACCATTCGGCCAGTCGCGGTGACTCACCCCTGTAATCCCAGCACTGTGGGAGTCCGAGGCGGGTGGATCACCTGAGGTCAGGAGTTCAAAACCAGCCTGGCCAACATGGTGAAACCCCGTCTCTACAAAAATACAAAAATTAGCCGGGCACGGTGGTGTGCACCTGTATTCCCAGGATTATTATTTTTTCTCAAAAAATAAATAAAGTATACCATTCAATGGTTTTTAGTATATTCACAAAATTGTGCAACCGTTACCACAATCGATTTTAGAACATTTTTATCACCTGAAAAAGAAACCCCATACAAATTAACAGTCACTCCTCATTTTTCCTAACCTCAAAGCCTTAGACAATCACTCTTCTTTGGTTTGTCTCTGGGGATTGGCCTATTCTAGACATTTCATGTAAATAGAATCCTAAAATCTGTGGCCTTTTGTGACTGGTTTTCTTTCACTCAGCATAATGTTTTCAAGGCACATCCAGTTGCAGCATGCATCCATACCGCATCTTTTTTTTTTTTTTTTTTTTTTTGAGATGGAGTTTTCCTCTTGTCACCCAGGCTGGAGTGCAATGGCACAAGCTTGGCTCACTGAAACCTCCGCCTCCTGGATTTAAGCAATTCTCCTGCCTCAGCCTCCTGAGTAGCTGGGACTACAGGCACCCGCCACCAAGCCTGGCTAATTTTTGTATATTTGGTAGAGACAGTGTTTCACCATGTTGGCCAGGCTGGTCTTGAACTCCTGACCTCAGGTGATCCACCCACTTCACCCTCCCAAAGTGCTGGGATTATAGGCGTGAGCCACTGCACCCGGCATCCTCATCCCTTTTTATGGCTGAAAAATACTCCATTGTACGGATATACCACATGTTTATCCATTCATCAGCTGATGGACTTTGGGTTGTTTCCATCCTTCGGCAATCATGGATAATGCTGATGTGCACATTTGTGTACAAGTCTTTGTGTGGACGTATGTTTTCATTTCTGTTGAGTAGATATCTACAAGTGGAATTCCTGGGTCATGTGTAACTCTGTTAACTATTTTGAGGAACTCTCACATTATATTTATTTATTTATTTTAGACGGAATCTCCCACTGTCGCCCAGGCTGAAGTGCAGTGGCAGGATCGCTGTAACCTCCACCTCCCGGGTTCAAGCGATTCTCCGGCCTCAGCCTCCCGAGTAGCTGGGATTACAGGCATGTGCCACCACACCTGGCTAATTTTTGTATTATTAGTAGAGACGGGGTTTCGCCACGTTGGCCAGGCTGGTCTCGAACTCCTGACTTCAGGTGATGCGCCCACCGTGGCCTCCCAAACTGCTGGGATTACAGGCATAAGCCACTGCACCTGGCCTCACATCATATTTAAAATGTTCATTTATTCACCCATCTCCTTCAGTGCTGTGGTATCTCTTTGAGGGGATGTTGCCACCTTGTTCATACCTAATATGGTGCTGGTACAGACCAGATGCTTCATAAATGTTTGCTGAATTCATCAACCGAAGTACTCTGGTATGAAAGCATTGAAAGAAAACATTTATGAGCTCATTTCAATGGGCTAGTCATAAGAAAGCACACAACCAGGAGCCTGAAATTTGCAAGTTTGTGTATCGCTGGGCTTAAGGTCTTTCCCAAGCAGAAGAGTGAAATTTGGGGTGCGTTTATGAAGCACTGACTTAGATAACCAAGGAGACCTTACCATTCCCCCCTAGTCTGGCTAAACTTTAGAAGGCTTCTTCCCAATTGCAGGCCCCTGACCTCCCTTTCCTTGTCACAAGCACTTTAGAAAACTTGGAATTGTAGCCAGGCATGGTGGCTCATGTGGGTAGTCTCAGCACTTCGGGAGGCCGAGGTAAGGAGGATTGCTTGAGCATGGAAGTTTGAGACCAGTTTGGGCAACAGAGCAAGACCTTGTCTCTTATTAAAATAATATATTTTTAGAAATTAGCCGGGCGTGATGGCATGCGCCTGCAGTCCCAGCTACCCAAGAGGTTGAGGCGGGAGGATCACCTGAGCCCAGAAGTTCGAGGCTGCAATGAGCCATGATTGCACCACCACACTCCAGCCTGGGGCACAGAGTGAAACCCTGTCTAAAATAAAATTAAATTAAAATAAAGAAATAAAAATAAAAATAAAGACAATTTGCAATTGCAAATTCTTTCTCTGACCCTTTGAAATATACACAACTTCTTTCAGCTTCACAACCCAGTAAATGTCTTTCTCAAGGACCTACCTAAGGATATATATATATTTTTGAGACAGGGTCTCACTCTGTCACCCACGTTGGAGTGCAGTGGTGTGATCACAGCTCACTGCAGCCTCAACCTCCTTGAGGAGGCTCAAGTGATCCTCCCACTGCAGCCTCCCGAGGAGCTGGGACTGCAGGCATGTGCCACCACACCCTGCTAAATTTTTGATATTTTGTAGAGACAAGCTCTCCCTATGTTGCCCAGAATGGCCTTGAACTCCTGGGCTCAAGCAATCCTGCTGCCACGGCCTCCCTAACTGTTGGGATTATAAGCGTGAGCCACTATGCCTGGCTGATTGCACAAGTCTTGAATGAAGTCTTTTTTGCCTATTTAACTTTGTTGAGTGTTGACAATGGCATTGACTCAATACACCACTTGGTCTACCAGGAACTGAGGGCATAACTCATGTAAAGTTGAAATGACCCTTGGGGAAAGGTGTTCATGTAAATGAGGTCGCAGAGGATGCCATGGCCCACTTATAAATGTTAACCTGAAACAAACATTCAAAAGCCCATTCATACACCTCATATTAAGAATATATAGTTGGCTAGGCATGGTAGCTCAAGCCTGTAATTTCCGCACTGTGAGACGCTGAGGCAGGAGGACTGCTTGAGCCCAGGAGTTTGAGACCAGCCTGGGCAATGTAGGGAGACCCTGTCTCTACAAAAAAAATTAAAAATTAGCCAGGTATAGGCGGGGCACAGTGGCTTATGTCTGGAATCCCAGCACTTTGGGAGGCCAAGGTGGATGGATCACCTGAGGTCGGGAGTTCGAGACCAGCCTGACCAACATGGAGAAACCCCATCTCTACTAAAAATACAAAATTAGCTGGACATGGTGGCGCATACCTGTAATCCCAGCTACTCAGGAGGCTGACGTAGGAGAATTGCTTGAACCTAGGAGATGGAGGTTGCAGGGAGCCGAGATTGTGCCATTGCACTCCAGCCTGGGCAACAAGAGTGAAACTCTGTCTCAAAATAAATAAATAAATAAATAAATAAATAAATAAATATAAAAATAAATAAATAAATAAATTAGCCAGGTGTGGTGGCACCTGTAGTCCCAGCTACTCCTGAGGCTGAGCAGGGAAGGATCACTGGAGGCTGGAGAGGTCAAGGCTACAGTGAGCTACGATTGCGCCACTGCACTCCAGCCCAGGCAACAGAGTAAGACCCTGTCTCAAAAATAAATAAATAACTAAAAGAATATATTGTTATTTCATTTCACTTCATTCTCAGAGGACTAATGATGTTCCTGAGAGCCCCCCATTTGGTAGGGATGAAATAAGGATTGTACCAAAAGGGGAAATTATGACCTTAGAACCAGGGGACCCTCAGAACTCAGCCTCCAGGAGCCTCATGGAGAATATAGATGAACATCCTTCCTCAGGTCTCAGGAGCAGTAAGAAGGAAATGCTGTAGATACGGTGTGAACGCTTGTGTGTTGGGCAAGAGAGTGACAGTTTTTTTTCGTTGTTGTTTTTTGTTTTTTGAGATAGAGTCTCGTTCTGTTGCCCAGGCTGGAGTGCAGTGGCACGATCTCGGCTCACTGCAACCTCTGCCTCCTAGGTTCAAGCGATTCTTCTGCCTCAGCCTCCCAAGTAGCTGGGACTACAGGCATACACCACTAGGCCCAGCTAATTTTTGTATTTTTAGTAGAGACGGGGTTTCACCATATTGGCCAGGCTGGTCTCGAACTCCTGACCTCGTGATCCCCCTGCCTCGGCCTCCCAAAGCGCTGGGATTACAGGAGTGAGCCGCCGCACCCGGCCGAGAGTGACAGGTTTAACAAATGTTTTAACTCTTCTGACATCCCTCGGAGCTGACTGTGTTGACACAGATGAGTGTGGAAAGGGAGAGTCCCGTGAGTCAGGACCACATTTCCGAATTTTTTTCTGGTTCCTTATTTCCCTGTGAAAGACCCAGTTCTCTAGTACTGAGCCAGAGCATTCTGGAGCATCCAGATAGTATTTCTCCTCTTGAGTGACAGAAATAGGATCCGTCTCCATGACAATGGTGTCTAGAAGACCCCCATGAGATTAAGTCTGACAGGAGCTGTCCGCTTAGCAAATACCAGGTTTCCATCCAGAGTGAATCAGCATCACTAGCCGGGTGTCCTGTTCCCAGCTTGACCAATGACTTCCTTGGGTCTATAGGGAAAATTGTAAACTCGCTGGCGTATCACCATTTCCCCACATGCCACACAAGGAGGCCATAAAACATTTGTCCTCCACCATCACAACTAGGATATAGGATGTGCTAGCTGAGAGGAGCTTTGGAAAAGGCTTCTAGAATGGGACATTGTACAACTGCAGGGAGTACTGCCATGAGATCCCCCATATCTGGGTTGAACTTCAGGAGGTGAGTGCTGTTATGGCTATACAGGTTATTAACATATTGAAGGCCAGGTGCGGTGGCTCACACCTATAATCACAGCACTTTGGGGGGCCAAGGCAGGTGGATTGCCTGAGGTCAGGAGATCAAGACCAGCCTGGCCAACATGGTGAAACCCCATCTCTACTAAAAACACAAAAATTACCTGGGTGTGGTGGTGCGAACCTGTAATCCCAGATACTTGGGAGGCCGAGGCAGAAGAATTGCTTGAACCTGGGTGGCAAAGGTTGCAGTGAGCCAAGATTGCACCACTGCATTCCAACCTGGGTGACAGAGTGAGACTCCGTCTCAAAAATAAATAAATAAATAAATAAATACATAAACACATAAATGTAAGGTAGAGGAGAGTAAGCTAGTTATGAAAGGGGAGTGTAGGTGGCTCCATTGTCCTGGAAGATCACCTGGAATGGATAGGACTTAATTGTCCTGAAAAAGAATCACCGAGGCAGGTCTTGGGGAAAGGGCATAACAATATCATTGGCTTTTTTATTCTTTGAGTGACAAAAAATAGCCTCACCCTTTTGGGGAGGGAGAGGATAAGGAGGGTTGAAGAGGAGGAGGAGAGGTGGAGGGGTGACTTCAGCCAGGGATGAGGACCTTGGGCAGGTCTCTGCCAGGACTCACTGGGATGCTTGTCCATGGAACCAGAAGAAGCTCATCACTAAGATTGCTGAGAGTCTGACACCTCGGGCTTGAGACTGTGAACTGGGAGTCGCCTGGGGCTTCTCTCTCCTCAAAGAAATGCAGTGAAAGTCTTTGCCCTGCAGCCGATGCTGTGACCACAGCAGAGGACCCAGCCTCCTCTATCCAGCCTTCACCTCTGAGGCCTGCTTTGCCAACATGGCGGCCTGTGCCCTGGTGGCCTGAGTATCTGGCTGCCACCCCCATACTCCCCATTGCTCAGCAGCTTCTGGCCTTTTGACCCAAGAACCTGAATCACTGCCGATTTTCTGAGCTGCCCCAGGCCTGAGAATGGTGCTCTGGTGCCCAGCTCTATTGGTCCACCACTGCTCTAATCTCCATTGCTGGGACATAGACCCATCAGGGACCTAAAGAGCATCTGGGCCCGGTGGGCCAGAGCCCCGCTCCTGAAGATGACACTCAAGGGTGAGTGAGTGAGAAGCCCACTGACGGCCCACGGCTCTAGGATATGAGGACCAGCCAGACGCAGCGGTTCACAGGAAGCTGAAGCAGGAGGATCACTTGAGCCCAGGAATTCAAAACCAACCTGGGCATCACAGTGAGACCACTCCTCTCTCCATCCTGGTCTCTACAAAAGAATATAAAAATTAGCTGGGTACAGTGGCTCACACCTGTAATCCCAGCACTTTGGGAGGCCAAGGAGGGCAGATCGATTGCACTCAGGAGTTCAAGACCAGCCTGGGTAACAAAGTGAGACCACGTCTCTACAGAAAATACAAAAATTAGCTGGACGTGGTGGTGTACACCTGTATTCTCAGCTACTCGGGAGGCAGAGGCAGAGGTACTTGAGCCTGGGGGCAGAGGTTGCTGTGAACTGTGATTTCACCACAGCACTCCAGCCTGGGCTATAGAGCCAGACCCTGTATCAAAAAAAAAAAAAAAAAAAAAGGCCGGGTGTGGTGGCTCACGCCTGTATACAATCCCAGTACTTTGGGAGGCCAAGGCAGGTGGATCACGAGGTCAGGAGATCGAGACCATCCTGGCTAACACAATGAAACCCCATCTCTACTGAAAAAAGTACAAAAAATTAGCTGGGCGTGGTGGCAGGCGCCTGTAGTCCCAGCTACTTGGGAGGCTGAGGCAGGAGAATGGCGTGAATCTGGGAGACGGAGCTTGCAGTGAGCTGAGTTCACGCCACTGCACTCCAGCCTGGGCAACAGAGCCAGACTCTGTCTCAAAAAAAAAAAAAAAAATTAGCTGGGAATGGTCACATGTACCTGTAGTCTCGGCTACTCAGGAGACTGAGGCAGGAAGATCACTTGAGCCCAGGAGGTTGAGGCAACAGGGAGTTATTTATGCCACTGCACTCCAGCCTGGGCAATGGAGCAAGACCCTGTCTCAAAAAAAAAAAAAAAAAAATCAGCTGGGAATGGTCACATGTACCTGTAGTCTCAGCTACTCAGGAGGGAGTTGTTTACGCCACTGCACTCCAGCCTGGGCAATGGAGCAAGACCCTGTCTCAAGCAAAAACAAACAAAACAAAAAGCAAAAACCACCAATGCCTGGGACCCAACCTGTAAGATTCTTACTCAGATTGCCTGGGATCTGGACGTCAATATTTGTTACAAACATTTGAGGTGATTGGAATGAACATCTAAGCTTGAAAACCACTGGTATGAATGTACACAGATATTCACAGACTCATCTGTTTTTTGATTAAAAAATGCAGCCAGGCATGATGGCTCACGCCTATAATCCCAACACTTTGGGAGGCCAAGGCCAGGGGATTACCTGAGGTCATGAATTCAAGACCAGCCTGGCCAATATGGTGAAACCCCATCTTCACTAAAAATACAAAAAATTAGCGAGGTGTGGTGGCGCGTGCCTGTAATCCCAGCTACTGGGGAGGCTGAGGCATGAGAATTGCTTGAACCTGGGAGGCGGAGGTTGCAGTGAGCCAAGATCGCACTACTGCACTCTAGCCTGGGCAACAGAGCGAGACTCCGTCTCAAAACAAAAGAAAAAATGCACATACGTGCATTAAAAAAACACTTGCAGTAGGGATGGTCTTTATTTTCTTCCTTCAATTTTATTATTATTATTATTTTTTGAGACGGAGTCTTGCTCTGTCGCCCAGGCTGGAGTGCAGTGGTGTGATCTCAGCTGACTGCAACCTCCACCTCCTGGGCTCAAGCGATTCTCCTGCCTCAGCCTCCCAAGTAACTGGGATTACAGGCGTGTGCCACCACTCCAGACTAATTTTTGTGTTTTCAGTAGAGATGGGGTTTCAACATGTTGACCAGGCTGGTTTTGAACACCTGACCTCAAGTGATCACCCGCCTCAGCCTCCCAAAGTGCTGGTATTACAGGCGTAAGCCACCACGTCCGGCCATTTTTTTTTCATATTGTTAAGTTTTGTGCAATTATTGTGCAGTTATTTTACAATTAGGGAAATAGCCAAAACTGCTATTTAAGGAATTATACTGATCCTTCTAGATTCTGCTCAATTCTCTCTGCAGGAAGCTTCCTGAGGGCTCCAATGCCGCTGTCTCTGTCCTCTGAATTCCTCCTGGCCTGTGATCACCCCAGGGAACACAGCACTTCACGGGGACTAGTAAGTGCTTGTACTTTGTTTTAGGTTGATATCACACCGTTTCCCAGCCTGGAAGGCAGGGACTGGCACACCTTTGCAGGAAGCAGGGCCTCCGTACAGATGTATTATTGATAACCCGGGCCTGAGCTGGCGCCTGGAGAGGTGGCCATTTCTCTGATCAAAGGCTCTCTCTCTCTCTCTCTGCAGAAGAAACACAGAGCTGCTTTCTGGTTTCACGATGAACTTTATAGGGAAATGAAAAGAAAAAAAAAACGCATTGGCAAGGCCTGTGGAAGAAGCGATGGCCCAGCTGGCTGGGGTCCCTGGCCGTCCAGGAATCCAGTGAATGTATGGCTGTGTTCTGAGCCCCTCACAGCCCTGGCAGCTCCGCCAGCGCTCAGCCAGGGCTGTGTCTAGGTACAGCTTGAGGTAGGCCCATGGAGCACAGGAACTGAGCCACTTCAGGAAGCTAGAGCAGAGGCTGAGCCGTGCCAAAGGAGGCCAGGGACACAGGCCCCAGTCTTGTCCTCCGCGTGGGGATGGCTTTGAAGGAGAGCCTTGTGAAGAGGCTTTGCTATGCTAAGTCCTAAAAGATGGGCTTGGACAACCAAAAGAGCTGGAGAATGGCAGGTTTGACCCCTTTCCCCGCTACCCTCCTACTGAATACCAAAATGTATCTTCCTGGGACGGAGTATTGTCCTATGTGAATTCCCAGTTGCTCCTCAGCCCCGAGGGATACATTAGAATGCCGCTTCCCCAAGGTTTGGAGTGAGTAGTACTACAAGATGCTCCAAGGTGAAAGGGTTCCACAGTCAAAAAAATTTGGGAAATATTACACACTCTATTCCCCTTTTCCCTACCAGAATCACACTGCACAGTAGTGTATTAAAGGCTCTGATGAGTCCTGCAGTTAGACAATCTGACAAGTCGTGCAATCAGAAAATCTGTTTAATTTTGTTTTGAACTTCCCAAACCTCATTGACTATGCCATCTTTTATACGGAGCCCCTATTAACATCTCCTGGCCTACCTTAGGAAGATCTGAGTTGGTCATTTGATAGCAAGAAATTCTACATTCAGAATGGTCTTTAATTCAATTCAGTTTTCAGGACAAAGCATGTATTAGTCTGTTCTCACAATGCTAATAAAGACGTACCTGAGACTGGGTAATTTATAAAGGAAAGAGGTTTAATGAACTCACAGTTCTACATGGCTGGGGAGGACTCAAAACCACGGGAGAAGACGAACAAAGAGCAAAGGGGCATCTTAGATGGTGGCAGGCAAGAGAGCGTGTGCAGGGGAACCGCGCTTTATAAAACCATCGGATCTCGTGAGACTTATTCACCACCACGAGAACGGTATGGGGGAAACTGCCCTCATTATTCAGTTATCTCCACCTGGCCCTGCTCTTGACACTTGGGGATTCTTACAATTCAAGGTGAGATTTGGGTGGGAACACAGCCAAACCATATCAAAGCATGATTTAATAAGTATTATAAAATTGGGTCTTTGCCCTCATACAGTCCAATCAGAGAGCTAATACTCACTGGGAACAGTGCTTTTTGTTTTTTGTTTTTTTGCTTGAGAAGAAGTTTCACTCTTTTCACCCAGGCTGCAGTGCAGTGGCACGATCTCGGCTCACTGCAACCTCCGCCTCCTGGGTTCAAGCGATTCTCCTGCCTCAGCCTCCCGAGTAGCTGGGATTACAGGCACCTGCCACCACGCCTGGCTAATTTTTGTATTTTTAATAGAGGTGGGGTTTCGCCATGTTGGCCAGGCTGGCCTTGAACTCCTGACCTCAGGTGATCCACCCGCCTTGACCTCCCAAAGTGCTGGGATTACAGGCATAAGCCACTGCACCCGGCCTGGGAACAATGTTTTTTATGACATTATGGTATCCTGTGGGCACCAAGATCATTAATATAGAAAACTGTCTAAGGAAGAGAGAGGCAGGAAAACTGAGTGAGTTCTGGTGTAAATGCTGACTCAAGGATGAACTCACAGTTCAAGGAAGGATGAACACAACGTGCCTCCGGAGTGAGACCAGGGATGCTTCTTAAACTAGGGCTATTGGTCTGATCCATTTTTTTTTTTTTTTTTTTGAGACAGAGTCTGGCTCTATCGCCCAGGCTGGAGTACAGTAGTGCGATCTCAGCTCACTGCAATCTCTGCCTCCTGGGTTTAAGCGATTCTCCTGCCTCAGCCTCCCAAGTAGTTGGGATTACAGGTATGTGCCACCATACCCGGCTAATTTAGTATTTTTAGTAGAGACGAGGTTTCACCAGGTTGGCCAAGCTGATCTAGAAATCCTGACCTCAAGTGATCTGCTTGCCTTGGCCTCCCAAAGTGCTTGGATTACAGGTGTGAGCCACCACACCCAGCTGGTCTGATCTTTAAAAAATGCAAAAAATCCAAGAAAAGAAGGAAAGATGTGGATATAGATATACAAAAGAAGGAAGGTCATCTCCCTCATGCGTCCGACTTGGGGTCAAATTGGAAAGATTGTAAATTCAAGTCCATTTATTCTGAGCAGAAGAAACTTCGGGAAAAAATGGCTTCTTGTCCCATGACCTAGTTAGGCTTTGATTGGCACCTTCGTGAAAAACAGCCCAACTTACGGCACAGCAAAGGCTGGTTGCTTTCTAGCTGAGGAGCTCAGCCTTTGTTTTGTTTTTATTTGTCTTTTGTTTTTGCCAAAGGAAAAAAGGAATTGGCAACTCCAGAATCTTAATGTGTCTTAACAGCATGAGATTCTGGTAAAATTATTGTAAATTTAACAAATGTTTTTACCTGTGTGCAGTGGCTCACAGCCATAATCCTAGCACTTTGAAAGGCCGAGGTAGGCGGATCACTTGAGGTCAGGAGCTCAAGACCAACCTGGCTAACATGGTGAAACCCCATCTCTACTAAAAATACAAACAAATTAACTGAGTGTGGTGGTGTGCACCTGTAGTCCCAGCTACTTGGGAGGCCAGAGGCATGAGAATCGCTGGAACCCAGGAGGTTGCAGTGAGCTGAGGTTGCACCATTGCTCTCCACCCTGGGAGTGCAATGTCTCCAAAAAAAAAAAAAAAAAAAAAAAAACAGAGAAGACTCTGTCTCAAAAGACAAAATAAAAAATTTTTTTTTTTTTTTGTAGAGACAGGGTCTCCCTATGTTGCCCAGGCAGGAGCCACTGCACCCAGTCTTCTTGTAATTTTTAAGGAGAAAAGAAAAAGGCCCTGAAATCCTTACCACTTGCACTTTTTGTCAGGGCTAGATAGGGGCAGGGCAGTGACCGATGGACAGGGCAGAGAAACAACCATAGACAGGCTGGGCAGGGGTGACACCGGTCTGTGAGTCTCTGGACCTTCTGGCAATAGCTGGGGAGAGGGAAAGGCAGAGACTGGCCATTGTGGGGCATGAAGAGTGTGGGGAGAGAACTTTCTAAACCCAGGGCGAGCTATCTGAGAAAAGTGATGAGAAGGGAGCTCGGGTAGGGATTGTTTGCCTACAAGGTCTCAGGATGCCATTACCACATTTGGTTTCTAGTATAATCCCAAGGGACAATTATAACCATTTCAGAGATGAAAGAATTGTTGGGGGACCTCTTCTTTTCACTGGAATCTTGAACAAATTAAAGAATAAAGCAGAAAGAAGGATGAAGGTTAAGATGCCACCTTTATACTCAAAAGCTGACATGTGGGCCAGGTATGGTGCTCACACCTGTAATCCTAACACTTTGGGATGCCAAGGCAGGAGGATGACTTGAGCCCAGGAGTTCAAGACCAGCATGGGCAACATGGCAAAACCCTGTCTCAATCAATCAATCAATCAATAGCTGGACATGGTGGTACGTGCCTGAAACAGCTACTCGGGAGGCTAAGGTGGGAAGATCACTTGAGCCTGGGAGGTCAAGGCTACAGTGCTTCATGATCATGACATTGTGCTCCAGCCTGGGCGACAGAGTGAGACCCTGTCAAAAAAAACAAAACAAAACAAAACAAAAAAAAAACACAGGGCATGCACAGTGGCTCAAGCCTGGAATCCTGGCACTTTGGGAGGCCAAGGCAGGCAGATCACTTGAGGCCAGGAGTTCGAGACCACACTGGGCAACATGGTGAAACCCCGTCTCTACTAAAAATACAAAAATTAGCTGGGTGTGGTGGCGCATGCCTATAATCCCAGCTACTTAAGTAGCTGAGGCACTAGAAGTGCTTGAGATCAGGAGGTAGAGGTTGCAATGATCTGAGATCATGCCACCGCACTCCAGCCTGGGCAACAGAGCAAGACTCTGTCTCAAACAAACAAACAAATCAACAAAAAATGCTGGAGTCTGAGGAGCCAGCCATGTGTTAATGTTATTACATTATGTTTTTTGCATTTCTCTGATGACGAATAATACAAAGAAATGGACCATAAGATTCCTTATGTGTGAAATACCTACCCATTTATTTTGATCTTAATTTCTCTCTGGAATGTTTTAGGCCTTTTTAAGGATGCTTACGGTCCATTTCTTTGTATTTCTTTGTAAAGTTTCTGTTCATCTTTTGTCCATTATTTATTGGGTTGTCTTTTGATTACAGATTTTCCATGTTCCTCATACAACCCTTTGTCAGATGTAGGAATTGCTAAGAATTTTCTCTAGGTCTGTAGCTTGCCTGCTTATTTTCTTAACTGTCTTTTAACAATCAGCAGTTCTGTGTGTGTTAGATTAGTGGGTTTTTAAAAAATTATTATTATTATTATTTTTGGAGACAGGGTCTCACTCTGTCACCCAGACTGGAGTGCAGTGGCATGATCTTGGCTCAATGCAACCTCCTACCTCCCAGGCTCAAGTGATCCTCCCACCTTAGCTTCCCAAATAGCTGGGACTCTAGGTGCATGCCACCATGCCCCTACTATTTTTTTTTTTTTTTGTATTTTTTGTAGAGATGGGGCTTTGCCATGTTTTCCAAGCTGATCTTGAACTCCTGGACTCAAGCAATCTGCTTGCCTTGTCCTCCCAAAGTGCTGGGTTACGGGTGTGAGCTACCACACACACCTGGAATATAGTCTATTTTCTCATATAAGTTTTATATTTAGATCTATGAGCCATCTTGAATTGATTTTTATGTATAGTATGAAGTAGGGAATCGAAGATTTTTTTTTCTTGTATATATTTAATTATTCCAGCACCAGTTGACAAAAAAAATTTCCTTTTTCTGAAAGATTGCTTTGATGCTTTTGTAAAAAATCAGTTGAGCATACATTTGTGGTCTTTGAGGTTCAACTTTCTAAGGGCTCTATGCTCAGTCAAGATCAGCTTGGAAATCAGACAAGCCCAGAGAAGGCCCACACAACACATCTCCGGGAGCATAGGACTGGGAAGGTAACTGTTTCTTCCCCAAGTGGTGCGTGCTCTGAGATGGCCAACAAGGCCGCCTCTTGGTCCCTGGAACTACTCCTTTGGTCTCAGTTCCATTGACCTGTTTGTTGCTCCTTATGTCAATATCACACTGTCTTGACTTCTTTAGTTTTATAGTAAGTCTTAAAATCAGGCGGTGTAAGACCTCTAATTTTGTTCTTCCTTTTGCTATTCTAGGTTCCTTCTGCTATTCTAGGTTCTTCTGCACTTCTTTTTTTTTTTTTTTTGGAGGCAGAGTCTCCCTCTATCCCCCAGGCTGGAGTGCAGTGGTATGATCTCGGCTCACTGACTGCAACCTCCGCCTCCCAGATTCAAGCAATTTTCCTCCTCAGCCTCCTGAGTATCTGGGATTACAGGAGCCTGCCAGCACGCCCGGCTAATTTTTTTGTATTTTTAGTAGAGACGGAGTTTCGCCATGTTGGGCAGGCTGGTCTCGAACTCCTGACCTCAGGTGATCTGCCTGCCTCGGCCTCCCAAAGTGCTGGGATTACAGGCGAGAGCCACCATGCCTGACCTCTTCTGCACTTCTAAAAATACATATATTTTAGAAACAGATTAGGGAGAATTATCATCTTAACAGTGGTAAGTTTTCCAATCAATGAGCATGAAATACCTACCCATTTATTTTGATCTTCTTAATTTCTCTCTGGAATGTTTTATCCTGTTTTGTGTTGGTCCTGCATATCTTTTGTTGAATTTATTTTTTAAGTATTTCATTTTTTCCTAAGTGAAATGTTTAAAAATTATATTTTCCAACCATTTGTGGCTACTATGTAGAAATGCTATTTATTTTTGCATATTGACCTTTTATCCTGTAGTCTTGCTGAATTCTCTTATTAGTTGTAGTAGGTTTTTTGTAGGTGCTTTAGGATTTTCTAATATGTACACAATCGTGTCATTTGTGAATAGAACAGTTTTCCTCCTTTCTTTCTAACCTGTGTGCTTTTTATTTATCTTCCCTTTTGCAACAGCTAAATAATCTAATGCAATGCTGAGTAGTAGTGAGAAGGCACTGTCTTGGGGGAAAGTGTTCATTCTCCCATCACAAAGTATGATGTTAGCTGTTGATATTTTGTAGATGTCCTTTATCAGACAAGATAGTCTTCTCTTCCTAACGTGCTGAGAGACTTGTTTTTGTTTAATTTTGTCAAATGCTTTTACTGAATCTATTGACATAATCATATGATTTTTCTCTTTTCTTCTGTTTATGTAAAGAAGTACATGGATTGACTTTCAGATGTTAAACCAACCTGGTGTTCCTGGGGGTGGGGGGTAAACCCTACTTAGTTATGCTCAATTACTCTTATTATTTACCTCTGAATTCTATGGCTTATATTTTGTTTAGAATTTTTGTATCTGTATTCAAGAATAATGGCTTGTGGTTTTCTTGTAATATCTTCTATGGGTTTTGACATTAGGGTAATTCTAGTCTCATAAAATGAATTGAGGAGTATTCCTCTACTCTGTTGTCTCAAAGAGTTTGAGTAAGATTTATTAGCCTCAAACTCTCAGGCTCAAGCAGTCCTCCCCTTTCATCCTCCTGAGTAGGTGGGACTACAGGCGTGTGCCATCATGTCTGGCTAATTTTTAAAAAAATATTTTTGTAAAGCAGCATCACACTACGTTGCCCAAGCCGGTCTTGAACTCCCGGGCTCAAGTGCTCCTTCTGCCTTGGCCTCCCAAAGTGCTGGGATTACAGGCATCAGCCATCACATCCAGCCTTATTTCTTCTTTCAATGTTTGATAATATTTGCCAGTGAAGCCATCTCAACCTGGAGTTTTCTTTGTCGGAAGTTTTAAGTTACAGCTGTAATTTCTTTAACAGATATAGGACTATTTGGATTTTCTACTACAGCTTGTGTAAGTTTCAGTAACTTGTATCTTTCAAAGAATTTCATTTCATCTAAGCTGTCAAATGTATTGGCATAAAGCTGCACACAGTTCTCTGATTAACCTTTCTGTGTTTGCATGATGTATATAAATGGCCACTCTTTCCTTCCTAAGACTGAACATTTGCATTCCTTTTTTTTCTTCATCAGCCTTGCTAGGTGTTTATCAGCTTTATTAATCTTTCCAAAGAACCAACTTTTTCTGTCAGTCTTGTTTTCTGTTTAAATAAAGAACAAACTTTTGGCCAGGTGCAGTGGCTCACACCTGTAATCCCAGCACTTTGGGAGGCTGAGGTGGGTAAATTGCTTGAGGCCAGGAGTTGGAGACCAGCCTGGGGAACATCGTGAAACCCCGTCTCTACTAAAAATACAAAAATTAGTTAGTCATGGTGGTGCATGCTTGTAATCCCAGCTACTCGGGAGGCTGAGGTGGGAGAATTGCTTGAACCTGGGATGTGGAGGTTGCAGTGAGCCAAGATCATGCCACTGTACTCCAGCCTGGGTGACAGAGCAAGACTCTGTCTCAAAAAAAAAAAAAAGAAAAGAAAAAGAAAAAAATTGTTTTTATTGTTTTTCCCGCCCTGTTAATTGTCCATTTTCTATTCAATTGATTTATACACTTTTCTGTATTATTTCTTTTCTTTTACTTATTTTTGGCTTAATTTATTTTATTATTTTCTAGCTTTTTCCCGTGATTTCTTTCACCCATGATTTATTTAAAAGTATGTTGCTTAATTTCCAAATTAAGTATGTTATTAAGCAACATTAAGTGTGTTAAGTATATTAATTATGTTATTAAGCAACATACTTAATTTGGAAAGTAAGTATGTAATTTCCAAATTAAGTATGTTGCTTACTTTCCAAATTTGGGGACTTTTCAGACATCTTCTCCTGATAAATTTTATGGTCAGAGAACATAGTATGTGTCTTAGTCTGTTTTGTGCTTCTATAACAGAATACTACTGCCTAGGTAATTTACAATAAGCAGAAATTAATTTCTCACAGTTCTAGATGCTGGCAAATCCAAGATCAACGTGTGGGCATCTGGTGAGGACCTTCTGCTGCTGGATCCCCTGGTGGGACAGCAGTAGAGCACATGTGAGAGAGGGAAGGGGGCCAAACTTATTCTTTTATAAGGGGTTTTCTCCTGCTGCAATAATGAACCCATTTCCTCAATAACAGCATTAATCCATTCATGAGGCAGAGCCCTTGTGACATAATGACCTCTTAAAAGTCCCACCTCTCAACAATGTTGCATTGGGGATTTAGTTTCCAACACATGAAGTTTTGGGGGCACAAATCACATTTATCTTAATTTATCTTACTTTTAATTTATCTTAATTTATCTCACATAGCAGTATGATTTTAGTCCTTTGAAATTTATTGAGACTTGTTTTATGGTCAGCATGTGGTGTCTGTTGATAAATGTTTAGGTTCACTTGTTGCTGTTGTTGTTGCTTTTTTTTTTTAAGTGTATTCTGCAATCGTTGAGCATAATGTTCTGTGTTAATTGAACAGAGTAGCCTCTAAAAGAAAACAAAAAATTCTGATTCTTCTCAAACATTTTAAGTTGAGAGCTACAGTTTTGTTGTAAGTTTAAACAATTATAAATAATTTTAGGCATATTGTACGCATCAATATTTTTAAGTAAAATTGCTACATTGCTCTTTTGAATGCATCAAATGGAATCCAAATACAACAGTAGGTTTACAGCCACCATCATCCATTTTTTATAAACACATGAATAGGCTCTTCTTTAACAGTTCAAAATTTGACATATTTTTCCCTTTCTCGTTGATCTCTTATTTCCAGTCCACTGGATGAAATATCAAGGGCCTTTCTGTTCCACTTCTTCCCAAAATATTTTCCTAATGTAATCAATGTTTAAGCTTGTAAGTCTGATTTATCACCTTGTCATACTTCTCTGCCAGTACATATTTTTTTTCTGAGGCCATAATTCCTAATGTTAGATGTTTTCTTTTGGAGTGAGTTGTCATTACAATTAATATTAGTGCATAACTAATCAAACAACCTAATGGTTATGTATTAAGTGACAAACAACAAATGATTATTTATACATGTTAAGTAATCATTAGACAATCTTCATAAAATGAAGGCAGTTGTTTGTGAATTAGATTATGTATCAGTAGACAGCTATTCCTTCTTAATAGATTGAGAGAAGACTCAGCAACAATATTCTTCCAATTTTTTTGTCTTATTTGAATAGAAGAGCTGAGGAAGCTTTTTCTCAGAAATAAGTAGATGGTGAGGCCAAAAAATTTATTATAGCAATGTCACTCAATTCTTTGAAAGCTGTTCAGTTATATTTCAAAAACCATATAGTGATCTATCATCAAATATTTACTTTCAGTAAAATTAAAAGAAGATCTAATAGAACTGTCGAATAATATAATAATAATATTCATTATATTATTTTATAATACCATATGTTATATAATATATTATTATTTAAATAATATAATTAATAAATATATTAATTTTAATATTATAATTTATATTATTTGATAGGTCTATTAGATCTTCTTTCAATTTTACTGAAAGCAAAGAATGGAAAACAACAAAGTTGGAAAAGGATTTGTTAACTGTTTTTGTTTTTTGAGACAGGGTCTCACCCTGTCACCTAGGCTGGAGTACAGTGGCACAATCACGGCTCACTGAAGTCTTGACTTCCTAGCCTCAACTAATCCTTTCACCTCAGCCTTCTGAGTAGCTGTGACTACAGGCATGCACCACCACACCCGGGTAATTTTAAAAAAATTTTTATTAGAGGTGAGGTCTCGCTTCATTGTCCAGGCTGATCTTGAACTCCGGCCTCAACTGAACCTCCCACCCCGGCCTCCCAAAGTGCTGGGATTACAGGCATGAGCCACTGCGCCCAGCCCCTGTTAACTGTCATTTGTTTTCCTAGATTCTGAAAAATTAAACAAGGAGGATATCTTCAAGTCTTCTAAAATTACTATCAAACACTTGCTAATAAAATATTCTTTTTTTTTTTTGAGACGGAGTCTCGCTCTGTCACCCAGGCTGGAGTGCAGTGGTGCGATCTCGGCTCACTGCAACCTCCTCCTTCCGAGTTCAAGCAATTCTTGTGCCTCAGCCTCCCGAATAGCTGGGACTACAGACACACACCACCACACCCTGCTAATTTTTGTATTTTTAGTGGAGATGGGGTTTCACCATTTTGGCCAGGCTGGTCTCGAACTCCTGACCTCAGGTGATCCACCCACCTCGGCCTCCCAAAGTGCTTGGATTACAGGCGTGAGCCACTGTGCCTGGCTCTTAACAAAAATTTTATCGCAATTATGCTTTAAATATATTTTATCAAACACTGAGGCTGCATGTTTTGCTGACTACTTTAGAGGAAATCTTGTCACCTAACCACATTGCAAAGCCCTTTTTATCTTCTCATCATAAAGTCAAATCAGCCCACACTGACTTTCTGTCCTCAGAATTCTGCCTTTATTTTTTAGACTAAATAAGTCTGCAAATACATCTCCTGTGACATCCATCTCACTCCTGACTTCTGAGATAAATGGGTAAGGCACGGAGTCCTGCCGTGAGTTTGTCTTTGAAGTGAAATCAGATCTCTTGCCTACAACTTTCCCCTGATGCTCTCTTTGCTTCGCTCTCACCAGACTTTATTGTGAAGGAGATACTCCTGGAGGTTTTTACTCCCTTGAGGAATGGACCTCCATAAGGTACAGAAATTTAGGGGGCAATGCTTGTCTCTTTTTACAATTATTTTTATTGTGGTCAAATACACATAACCTAAAATTTACCATCTTAATCATTTTTTTTTTCTTGACACAGAGTTTCACTTTGTCACCCAGGCTGGAGTGCAGTGGCACGATCATGGCTCACCGCAACCTCTGCCTCCCAGGTTCAAGCGATTCTCCTGCCTCAGTCTCCCGAATAGCTGGGACTACAGGTGCACCTCACCATGCCCGTGTAATTTTTGTATTTTTTTAAAGTAGAGATAGGGTTTCACCATGTTGGCCAGGCTGGTCTTGAACTCCTGACCTCAGGTGATCCGCCCGCCCTGGCCTCCAAAAGTGCTGGTCTTACACTGACAAAGCTATCAAAATGGGAAGGAGAGGGGAGAACAGCAGCATAAGCGGCTGCCAGAGGTAGGGAAAGACCAGCAAGAAGAAAAGAGAGAAAGAGAAAGTCAGAGGAAGAGACAGAGACAGAAAGTCAAAGAGGGAGTCAGAAACAGAGACAAAGAAAAGGAGTCAGAGAAAAAGAGGGACAGACACAGAAAGTCAAAGAAAGAGTTAAAAAGAGAGGAAGAGACAAAGAAGAAGTCGAAGAGAGAGATGGGAGTAGTAAAGAAAAAACAGCATATCCCATTCCTTTAAAAGCCAGGGTAAATTTCTATCTACCCAGCCAAGGCATATTCTACTTATGTGGATCTTCAACCCATATCGGCCTCTCAGACGGTTTGCAAGAAATAACGAAATCTATCCTTACTTTACAATCCCAAATAGACTCTTTGGCAGCAGTGACTCTCCAAAACCGCCGAGGCCTAGACCTCCTCACTGCTGAGAAAGGAGGTCTCTGCACCTTCTTAGGGGAAGAGTATTGTTTTTACACTAACCAGTCAGGGATAGTATGAGATGCTGCCCGGCATTTACAGGAAAAGGCTTCTGAAATCAGACAACGCCTTTCAAATTCTTATACCAACCTCTGGAGTTGGGCAACATGGCTTCTCCCCTTTCTAGGTCCTGTGGCAGCCATCTTGCTGTTACTCGCCTTTGGGCCCTGTATTTTTAACCTTCTTGTCAAATTTGTTTCCTCTAGAATCGAGGCCATCAAGCTACAGATGGTCTTACAAATGGAACCCCAAATGAGTTCAACTAACAACTTCTACCGAGGACCCCTGGACCGACCCACTGGCACTTCCCCTGGCCTAGAGAGTTCCCCTCTGAAGGACACCACAACTGCAGGGCCCCTTCTTTGCCCCTATCCAGCAGGAAGTAGCCAGAGCGGTCATCGGCCAAATTCCCAACAGCAGTTGGGGTGTCCCGTTTAGAGAGGGGATTGAGAGGTGACAGCATGCTGGCAGTCCTCAGAGCCCTCGCTTGCTCTCGGCACCTCCCCTGCCTGGGCTTCCACTTTGGTGGCATTTGAGGAGCCCTTCAGCCCCCCCCCCACTGCCCTGTGGGAGCCCTTTTCTGGGCTGGCCAAGGCTGGAGCCCACTCCTTTAGCTTGCGGGGAGGTGTGGAGGGAGAGGCGTGAGCGGGAACCGGGGCTGCGTGCAGCGCTTGCGGGCCAGCTGGAGTTCCGGGTGGGCGTGGGCTGGGTGGGCCCCGCACTCGGAGCAGCCAGCCAGCCCTGCTGGCCCCGGGCAATGGGGGACTTAGTACCCGGGCCAGTGGCTGCAGAGGGTGTACTGAGTCCCCCAGCAGTGCTGGCCCACCGGCGCTGCGCTCGATTTCTCGCCGGGCCTTAGCTGCCTTCCCACGGGGCAGGGCTCAGGACCTGCAGCCCGCCATGCCTGAGCCTCCCACCCACTCCATGGGCTCCTGTGTGGCCCGAGCCTCCCCGACGAGCACCACCCCCTGCTCCACGGTGCCCAGTCCCATCGACCACCCAAGGGCTGAGGAATGCGAGTGCACGGCGCAGGACTGGCAGGCAGCTCCACCTGCAGCCCCAGTGCCGGATCCACTAGGTGAAGCCAGCTGGGCTCCTGAGTCTGGTGGGGACGTGGAGAGTCTTTATATCTAGCTCAGGGATTGTAAATACACCAATCAGCACCCTGTGTTTAGCTCAAGGTTTGTGATGCACCAATCGACACTCTGTATCTAGCTGCTCTGGTGAGGACGTGGAGAACCTTTATGTCTAGCTCAAGGATTGTAAATACACCAATCGGCACTCTGCATCTAGCTCAAGGTTTGTAAACACACCAATCAGCACCCTGTGTTTAGCTCAAGGTTTGTGAATGCACCAATCGACACTCTGTATCTAGCTGCTCTGGTGGGGCCTTGGAGAACCTGTGTGTGGAAACTCTGTATCTAACTAATCTGATGGGGAGGTGGAGAACCTTTGTATCTTGCTCAGGGATTGTAAACGCACCAATCAGCACCCTGACAAAACAGGCCACTCGGCTCTACCAATCAGCAGGATGTGGGTGGGGCCAGATAAGAAAATAAAAGCAGGCTGCCAGAGCCAGCATTGGCAACCCGCTCGGGTCCCCTTCCACACTGTGGAAGCTTTGTTTTTTTGCTCTTTGCAATAAATCTTGCTACTGCTCACTCTTTGGGTCCACGCTGCCTTTATGAGCTGTAACACTCACTGCGAAGATCTGCAGCTTCACTCCTGAGCCCAGCAAGACCACAAGCCCACCGGGAGGAAGGAACAACTCCAGACGCGCCACCTTAAGAGCTGTAACACTCACCGCGAGGGTCCGCGGCTTCATTCTGAAGTCAGTGAGACCAAGAACCCACCAATTCCGGACACACTGGGATTACAGGCGTGAGCCATGGCGCCTGGCCTTAGCCATTTTCAAGTGGACAATTGGGTGGTTTTCAGTATATTCACATTGTGTTGGGCAACCACCACCACCATCCATCTCCAGAACTCTTTCTTCTTGCAAAACTGAAACTCTGCACACATTAAACACTAACTCCCCATTTCTCCATCACCATTCTATTCTCTGTCCCCATTAATTTGACTATTATAGGGACCTCATATAATTGGAATCACACAGTAATTGTCCTTTTGTGTCTGGTTTAGTTTGCTTAGCACAATGTTCTCAAGAATTATCATGTTGTAGCATGTGTCAGAATTTCCTTTCTTGACCAGGCACAGTGGCTCATGTCTGTAAATCCCAGCACTTTGGGAGGCTGAGACGGGAGGATTGCTTGAGCCCAGGAGTTTGAGACCAGCCTGGGCAACATGGCAAAAACTCATCTCTACAAAAAATAAAAAACAATTAACCAGGCATGGTGATGCATGCCTGTGGTCCTAGCTACTCAGGAGGCTGATGTGGGAGGATCACTTGAGCCCAGGAGGTTGAGGCTGTGATGAGCTGTGATTGAGCCACTGCACTCCAGCCTGGGTGTCAGAGCAAGACCTTATCTCAATTTTTTTTTAAAAGATCACTTTTGTCGCTGCTTCCCTGAATGCATGTGACTGATTGAGGCTATCATTCATCTCCACCCCTGCTACAGCAGTTTTCCTGTGTTGCGTCTCATTCTTCTCTGTCATCATTCTACAAGCTATTGTCATATTCATCTTTCCACAATGCAGCCAGGCACTGTGGCTCACGCCTGTAATCCCAGCACTTTGGGCGGCAGAAGTGGGTAGATAACCTGAGGTCAGGAGTTCGAGACCAGCCTGACCAACATGGTGAAACCCTGTCTCTACTAAAAATACAAAATTAGCTGGGCGTAGTGGTACATGCTTGTAATCCCAGCTACTTGGGAGGCTGAGGCAGGAGAATCGTATGAACCTGGGAGGCAGAGATTGCTATGAGCCAAGGTCGCGCCATTGCACTCCAGCCTGGGCAACAAGAGTTAAAACTCCATCTCAGAAAAAAAAAAAAAAAAAAAATGGAGTCTCAATCTGTCACCCAGGCTGGAGTGCAATGGTGTGATCTCGGCTCACTGCAACCTCTGCCTCCCAGGTTCAAGCGATTCTCCTGCCTCAGCCTCCTGAGTAGCTGGGATTAGCATGCACCATCACGCCCGGCTATTTTTTTTTGTATTTTTAGTAGAGATGGGGTTTCACCATGTTGGTCAGGCTGGTCTCAAACTCCTGAGCTCATGATCCACCTGCCTCAGCCTCCCAAAGTGCTGGGATTACAGGCAAGAGGCACCACGCCTGGCCAAAACCATCTTTCCACAATGCAAATTTGATCATATGACAATACCACCTACAATCCCCCAATGATGCACAGCACCCTACCACCCCCTTCTTTGTCAACAGAGCTGAGATTCTGTCCAGTTCTCCGCCATCCACGTGCTTCAGAGACACCTGGACCCATCTCCTCATTGATCTTGATTGGTTAAGCCAGTCAAGGCAATCCGTTGCTAATCATTGACTTAGGAAGGGGTTTACAAACTTGAGGCAGGGAGGAAGACTACAGTAGTGCAGAAGATTCTGGAAAAGGATTCTTAACTTTTAAAAAGAGCACAAGAAAAGGATCCCTAGTCCTTAAAAGGAGACACAAAGAAAGGATAGAATTCTATTTTGCCTCTGGACGGTGTGTAGAGATGCAATGCCTGGGGCCACTGCAGTCATTTTGTGATCATGAGAAGAATGATTGATCTGATGAGGACAGAATGTGCCCTACTCTGGGCTTCCAGTTTTATGAGGTAATGCATTTTCTTTATTGGTTAAGCCTGTAGAGTTGACTTTTTCTGTTACCACCAAAAGCATCCTGAGTTATTTACCATTGAACATGTTTTTTTTCTTTTTTTGAAAAGGAGTCTTGCTCTGTTGCCCAGGCTGAAGTGCAGTGGTGTGATCTCAGCACACTGCAACCTCCACCTTCTGGGTTCAAGCGATTCTCCTGCCTTGGCCTCCCCAGTAGCTGGGATTACAGATGTGCACCACCATGCCTGGCTATTTTTTTTATTTTTAGTAGAGACAGGGTTTCACCATGTTGGCCAGGCTGTTCTCAAACTCCTGACCTCAGGTGATCCACCCGCCTTGACCTCCCAAGGTGCTGGGATTACAGGTGTGAGCCACTGCACCCGGCCTACCATTGAACATTGAATAAACTCCAATTTACTATGTGTGGTGTAAAAGGATGTTCATCATCCATCCCTGTTGACCTCTCCAGTTGTCTCTCCCGCTGTCTCACCCTCTGTGCTCTGAACTAACACACTCTTGCCATGCTGTGTGGATTTACCCTTTCTTGACATTCTCTCTCTGGTGAGCAGCCCTCTACTCCCTTGCCTATTGGACAAAGACTTTCTAATTCTTCCAGATTATGACTGAGCACCCTCTTCTCCTCAATGCCTCTCTCCTTTCACCTCTCCTGGTAGAAGTGACCTTCTCTTCCTTGTGTGCCCCACCCCATTCTCTCCCTTTTGCCCTCACTTTTCCTTGTACATGACCCCACTTCTAGGTTCAGCCTTACTCCATGCACATAGATTTGTAGGAGATTGCTCTCCCTCTGCTGCCCGCTTCTCCAGTAGACTCTGAGCTCCTTGGGAGCAAAGACTATATCTTACTCAGTTCTGTTTCTCCCAGGGGTTGTGATAGTGCCTGGAACATCATGGTCACTCAGTAAATATTTACTAAAGGGTATTGACGTGGAGGGCTTGGTTGAAAGCTGGGAGAAGTGGGAAGGGTGGCCAGGCAACTGTGAGGGGACAAGGGCTGGAGTGCCGGTGCGAGGTGTGTGGTGTGAGTGTGTGCACACATGTGTTGGCCGGCGTCTGGGTCTCTCTGTTGAGGGAACGCATGAAAGGGTGTCTGTGTCATGGTACAAGAGCGACCCAGTGGGTGAATGTGGGCTTGTGTGAGGCAAGTCTCCTGTGCAAGGAGGTATGAAAAGGGGGTTTGTTCCAGTGACTGGAGGCATCTGTGAGACTGTTGGGAGTGAAATTCTGAGGACTGGATCAGAAGTGCAGAAGGAACACATGTAAACTTTTCTGATCAGTCGAAATTTTGGTCCGCTTAAGATCTTTTCCTAAAGCCATATTTGTCATTTTTGAAGCCCTAGCTTCTAACCCTTTAATTATTTTCATTCCTACTCAACCTGCCCATGTTTTCCACACCTCTTTTTAGTAACCAGAAAGGAATGAGGCAGACTGTCCTAATAATAAGCAGATCATCACCTATTATGTATGAAACCCAGGGTTTTTTGGTTTGTTTGTTTGTTTGTTTGTTAGAGACAGGGTCTCACTTTGTCATCCAGGGTAGAGTGCTGTGGTGCAGTCACGACTCACTGCAGCCTCAACCTCCTGGGCTCAAGCAATCCTCCTGCCTCAGCCTCCCAAGTAGCTGGGGCTACAAATGCATGCCACCACACCCGGCTAATTTTTAAATTTTTTGTAGAGACAGTGTCTCACCATATTGCCCAGGCTGGTCTCGATCTCCTAGCCTCAAGCAGATCTTCCCACCTCAGCCTCCCAAAGCTCTGGGATTACAGCGTAAGCCACTGTGCTCAGCCCAGGTGTTTTTTTAAAAAAACATTTGTTTTATACATTCACTCTTGTAAAATAGGCAGTGTATAGGAATTACCTGAGATCCTCCAGGCCACAGGATGATGGAAGATAACATGTGTGATTTTGTCTTTTTCTTGTTTTGGAGGAAGACACAGGAGCCCATCGGGGTAACGAGGAATCAACACAAGATTATGGGTGGTCTGGAGCTCTCCCCCTCCTGCCAGTTTCCAGCAACATCCGAGGCATAGTCGTGACTGATTTGGGGGTGAGTTTTGTCATATTCATTGATAAATACATCCTTATTTTTTGAGACAGGGTCTCCAGCCCAGGCTGGAGTGCACTGGTGTGATCATCCTCACTGCAGTCTCAACCTCCTGGGCTCAAGTGATCTTCCTGCTTCAGCCTCCTGTGTAGCTGGGACCACAGGTGCACACCACTATGTCCAGATAGTTGTATTGTCTTTTGTAGAGATGGGTCTCACTATGTTATCCAGGCTGGTTTTGAACTCCTGAGGCCAAGCGATCCTCCTGCCTCAGCCTCCCAAAGTTCTGGGATTCCAGGTGTGAGCCACTGTGCCCAGCTCTAGACCCAATTTTAAGATCTTTTTTACCAAGTGAAGTCTGAATGGGTTTCTCCACAAATGATAAGAACAAAAGAGAAAAATATCCAATACTCTTATTTACTTTGCAAAGCACTCCATGCAGCCCTATTTTATAAATGAAGAAGCTAAGGTCTAGAGATGTTCAGTGACTTGTATAGGAAGGTACATAGAGCAGCCGGGGTTTCTCCTGAGGCCTGGCTGCGGGGAGCATTCGAGGGACTCTCCAAGGAGAGCTAGGGACTGAGTGTGGGGTTTGGTCCTTTTTTTTTTTTTTTTAATTGGCTCTGTCATTGGTCTAGGAAAAGACTGCAGACCAGGAAATGCAGGTTTCAGACCAGGAAGAGATTCTGCAAATCACGTGGTGGAGAGAAAGCTGTGTTTCCTGGGGGGTTAGCTGCAGCTCCAGTGACCATACCCCCAGGGTCAAGTCACAAAACCCCCCAGGATCAATGTTGAACTGTGTCCAGGAAGAAGCAAGAAATGAAGAGTGTGGCCGGTTGCAGAGGCTCACGCCTGTAATTCCAGCACTTTGGGAGGCCGAGGCGGGCGGATCATGAGTTCAAGAGATTGAGACCATCCTGGCTAACACGGTGAAACCCCGTCTCTACTAAAAATACAAAAAATTAGCGGGGCGTAGCGGTGGGTGCCTGTAGTCCCAGCTGCTCGGGAGGCTGAGGCAGGAGAATGGCGTGAACCCGGGAGGCGGAGGTTGTGGTGAGCCGAGATCGTGCCGTTGCACTCCAGCCTGGGCGACAAGAGTGAAACTCCGTCTCAAAAAAAGACTTTATGAGGTGCTCACACAAGGCACAAACAAAACAAACAGGAAAGATTCCCCTTCTGTGAATTTTAGGACTAACGGGAAAACCAGAGACCTTTTTTCCTTGGGCTTAGAGTTCCCGTCATCCTTTTAAAAATCTTATGCTCTTTAAAAAAAAAAATTGTGGTTAAATACACATAACATAAAATTTGGCATCTTAGCCACTTTTAGGTGTACAGTTGAGTGGCATCAAGCACAGTCACTGTTGTGCGATCATCGCCACCATCCATCTCCAGAACACTTTCCACCCTCTGAACCTCTTTCCCCATTAAACAACAACTCCCCACTCTTTCTCCGTCCCGCGCCTGAGAACCACCATCCTACCTTCTGTCTCTGTGAATTTGACTACTCTAGGGATGTCCGTTCCACGTAAGTGGAATCAGACCGTAATTACCCTTTTGCATCTGGCTTATTTCACTTAGCATAATGTCCTCAAGGATCTTCATGTTTCAGCATGGATCAAAATTTCCTTTTTTTTTTTTTTGAGACAGAGTCTCACCCTGTCACCCAGCCTGGAGTGCAGTGGCGCTATTTCGGCTCACTGCAACCTCCGTCTCCCAGGTTCAAGCGATTCTCCTACCTCAGCCTCCTGAGTGCTGGGATTATAGGCACGTGCCACTACGCCCAGCTAATTTTTGTATTTTTAGTAGAGACAGGGGATTTCACCATGTTTGCCAGCCTGGTCTCGAACTCCTGACCTCAGGCAATCCTCCTGCCTCAGACTCCCAAAGTGCTGGGATTACAGGCGTGAGCTACCTGCTCTGCTTTTTAAGGAACTGAGGCTAAGATAGACATTTCCTGTCGCATGTCTGCTGAAGTTCTACCAGGGAAGATAAACCACAGCTTGTGAATTTCTTTGCAATTGTAAGCAAAAAGCATCATCAAGTGATCTGCCTGTGGTATGATAGAAACACCTGCTCCAGAAATTAGAACTCCTGGATCTACAAACTTCATCTCTTACTCAAAGCAACTAAATTATTCTTCAAAGAATAGGTAACCAGGCCAGGCACGGTGGCTCATGCCTGTAATCCCAGCACTTTGGGAGGCCAAGGCAGGTGGATCACTTGAGGTCAGGAGTTCAAAACCAACCTGGCCAACATGGTGAAACCCTGTCTCAACTAAAAATACAAAAAATTAGCTAGACATAGTGACTGGTGCCTGTAATCCCAGCTACTCGGGAGTCTGAGGCAGGAGAATTGCTTGAACCCAGGAGGTGCAGGTTGCAGTAAGCTGAGATCACTCCACTGCACTTTAGCCTGACCGATAGAGTGAGACTCGGCCTCAAAAAAAAAAAAAAAAAAAAAGAATGTATAACCAAAAATGGAGCAAAACATACTTACCCTGCCTCACATTTGTGAAGATTAACAAGCATTACAACACTTTACAGCACTTACGGAATGCTTGCTCTACCATATGATCTCTTTCGATGTTCTGCCAACGAGCTAGATGTTTTCACTTTTGATTGAAGATAAACCTTGTTTTCCTTGTTTTGTTGCGATCATGGCTCACTGCAACCCCTACCTCCTGGGTTCCGGCAATTCTCGTGCCTCAGCCTCCCAAGTAGCTGGGATTACAGATGCGTGCCACCACGCCCGGCTAATTTTTTGTATTTTTAGTAGAGACAGGGTATCACCACGTTGGCCAGGCTGGTCTTGAACTCCTGGCCTCAACTAATCTGCCCACCTCAGCCTCCCAAAGTGCTAGGATTACAGGCGTAAGCCACTGTGCCCAGCTAAGCCTTGTTACTTCCATTTTTCAAATGAGCACTCTGAGACCCAGAGAAGTCAAGTAATTTACCCAAGAGCGCACAGCTGGTTAGTACGAGAGTCAGAAATTAAGCGCAGGTTTGTCTGACCTCAAACTCAGCATTGCTCCACTGTATTGTTCAGCCTGTCTGATTAGGTAATACAGGGAGGGATGTTCAGCTCCATAAAGCATAGTAAGATGTACCCTGGGAGCTGAAGACACAGCTAACTACATTTTTCCTAAGAAAGCCTGTGTTCTTTGAGGCCTTTTGTTCTGGAGGTAAAGCACAAAAATCAGTGACTCAGGGGGACAAAAATTGGGCTTTTTAATTTCTGTTCTGTCGGCCCGCAATTCCCTGAACACCCTTTTTCCACTAGAGAGATCTCCAAACTCCATCTTTGCCATAATTGTTTAGATAGAGTTGGGGATGAGAGGGGCTGGCAGGAGGGATTACCCTTGCCGTGATGTTTCAAGTTGTCTCAAGCCCATGACAAAGGCTGGCTCTCTCTTATAAGAGGTATAGATTGTATCAAGGAATAGCAACTTTACCGAGAAAAAGGGATTAGAATGTTGGAACAACGAAGGCATATTAATAAAACTGTAATCATGCTTGGATAGGCATTACCAACCATAGAAGAAGTAAGTCTGAAAATCCCAAACCTTCATCGGCTGCTCAAAAGTTCCAAAGTGTCATTGCAGCACTACTGACAAGAGCAAAGATGTAGAACCAATCCAGGAGTTCATCAGCGGTGGATTGGATAAAGAAAATGTGGTATATATAGACCGTGGAATACTATACAGCCACGAAAAAAGAACTAACTCATGTTCTTTGCAGCAACTTGGATGCAGCTGGAGGCCATTATCCTAAAGGAATTAACCCAAGAACAGAAAAACAAACACCCCCCACATGTTTTCACTTATAAATAGGAGCTAAGTATTGGGCACACATGGGCATAAAGATGTGAACACTAGACACTGGGGACTCCTAGAGTGGAGAGGGAGGAAGAGAAGCAAGGGCTCCAAAACTACCTCCTGGGTACTATGCTCAGTACCTGGGTGATGGGATTGCAGCAGCATAATTAAGGAATCACAGAGACCGAGGTGTTGAGGAGGAATTATTTAATTATTTAGGTGCACCGACCCAGTTGGATTAACATCCAAAGGACTGAGCCCTGAACAAAGAGTCAAGTTACCTTTTAAGCATTTTGTGGGGCTGGGGGGAGATCTGTGCAGGGGGAAGCATATTATAGAAGCGAGAAGCAAAGACAGTTATTCAATTGAGACATGATTTACATCGTTTCTTACTTTTTAAGGAACATGTTTTATGACTTGAGATTATCTGCCTAGTGACCTTGCAGCTGCACTGCTAGAGAAGCAGAGTCTTCACAATGCCTGGGAAGGGAGGAGAGATAAGGCTCACCAGCCACAGAAAAACAGGCAGTTAATTTGAAAGGACTCCAGCTGTTTCTCTTCTTCAGGGGGAATTGGGTTTTCTTACATACAGCTGAGTTTTTGCTCACACATTCTTTATTTTCTTTCAATTCCTGTTTCAGGATCCATTGCGCCCCAAACATCAGCATCATGGAAATATATCAAAACTGCATATGTACACCCTGAATCTAAAATAAAAGTTGAAATTTAAAAATTTAAAGAAAAGGCCGGGCGTGGTGGCTCACGCCTGGAATCCCAGCACTTTGGGAGGCCAAGGCAGGCAGATCACGAGGTTAGGAGATCGAGACCATCCTGGCCAACATGGTGAAATCCCATCTCTGCTAAAAATACAAAAATTAGCCAGGCGTGGTGGCACGTGCCTGTAATCCCACCTACTCGGGAGGGTGAGGCAGAAGAATTGCTTGAACCAGGGAGTCAGAAGTTTCAGTGAGCTGAAGTCATACCACTACACTCCAGCCTGGTGAGAGAACGAGACTCCGTCTCAAAAAAAAAAAAAAAAAATTTAAAGAAAAAAGATCCAACGTGTGTGTTATGAACTGTGTCCCCCCAATTACAAGTCCCTAGTACCTCAGAATGTGATGTATGTGAAGAGAGTATCTTTAAAGAGGTAATGAAGGTAAAATAAAGTCATTGGATGTATTCATTCGTTCTCACACTACTGTAAAGAAATACCTGAGACTGGGTGAGGTGGCTCCCGCCTCACTTTGGGAGCACTTTGGGAGGCCGAGGCGGGTGAATCGCCTGAGGTCAGGAGTTCGAAACCAGCCTGACCAACATGGTGAAACCCCATCTCTACTAAAAATGTACAAAATTAGCTGGAAATAGTGGCAGGTGGCTGTAATGCCAGCTACTTGGGAGTCTGAGGCAGGAGAATCGCTTGAACCTGGGAGGCGGAGGTTGCAGTGAGCCGAGATTGTGCCACTGCACTCCAGCCTGGGTGACAGAGTGAGATTCCGTCTCAAAAACAACAACAACAACAACAACAACAAAATCAACCACAAGAAATAACTGAGACTGGGTAATTTATAAAGAAAAGAGGTTTAATTGGCTCACAGTTCCACAGGCTATACAGAAATCGCTGTGACATCTGCTTTTAGGGAGGCCTTAAGGAGCTTTAACTCATGGTGGAAGGCAAAGTGGGAATAGAAAGTTCACATGGTTGGCCGGGCACAGTGGCTCATGCTTGGAATCCCAGCACTTTGGGAGGCCAAGGCAGGCGGATCACCTGAGGTTGGGAGTTCAAAACCAGCCTGGCCAACATGGTGAAACCCCGTTTCTACTAAAAATACAAAAATTAGCCGGGCTTCATGGCAGACACCTGTAAACCCAGCTACTCAGGAGACTGAGGCAGTATAATCACTTGGGCCCAGGAGGTGGAGGTTGCAGTGAGCTAAGATCACACCACTGCACTCCAGCCTGGGTGACAGAGCGAGACTCCATCTCAAAAAAAAAAAAATAAAATAAAGTTCACATGGCAAAAGCAGGAACAAGAGGGAGAGTGAGGTGCAACGCACTTTTAAACAACCAGATCTCAGGAGAACTCACTCACTGTCACGAGAACAGCACCGAGGGGAAGTTGCTAAACCACTCGTGAACTCGGCCTCCATGATCCAATTGCCTTGCTCCAGGCCCATCTCCGACACTGGGGATTACAATTCAACATGAGATTTGGTGGGGACACAGATCCAAACCATATCACTGGGATAGGCCCTAATCCAATATGACTGATGTCCTATAAGAAAGGAAATTTGGACCCAGACACAGAGGGAAGATGATGTGAAGACACAGACAGGAGACAGCCATCTACAAACCCAGGAGAGAGGCCTCAGAAGGAACCCACTGTGCCAACACCTTGATCTTGGACTTCCAGCCTCCAGAAAGTTGAGAAAATAAATGTCTGTTGTTAAAGCCACTCAGTCTGCGGTATTTTTTATGACAGCCTGAGCCAACTCCTACAGTGTGAGTCATGATCTAGACTAGTGGACTTCATACTTTTTGACTACACCCAACAGTAACAAATTTATTTTGCGTTGTGATCCCAAATGAGCATGCACATTGGAAATCGAAGCATCACTTTCTCTTACGATGTGCAAGTCTCTCTCATCTTTTGCATTTTTTTCATTTTATTCTATTTTGTTCTTTTTTTCAAAACTGACGTTGTGACTCACTAAATTAATATCAATGATGGGTCACCACCGGGTGGGTCCCAGAGTTTGACCTAACACCAGGTGATGAGTCTGTGTCATGTAGGAGCCGAGACAGGGTGACAGGCCAGGACTGGGGAAGTGGACGTTTGCTCAGGGAAGACTCCCTTCTCCTGGTGCAGTGACCTTCATCACAGCCCTTCCCTTCTTTCTTCTCAGAATTGATTTTACCCTCTCCATGCAGCTAAACTATGAAATTCAGGTGTGTGGGTCAATGCTCGGTGCACCTGTGTTGCAGTGGACACAGTGTTTGGGGCTATCTTCTTCCTTTTTGTAACCTGATCTTGCTTTGGGGCAATCTCGTTTCCTCTGATGTGTGATTTGGGGGGAGGTGGTGGCATATTCTCACCCATATTCCCTCTCCCCACCTCTGCGGCCACCAGGAGGCAGCATGTGGCTCTCACTGCCTGAAAGAGCCTGTCCCCGGTGCTTTGACTACGAATCAGGAGGCCCAGGGACAGGGGTGGGGGTAGAGGTCATCTTATCCCCAAAGCCACTGGCCTAGCCTGCCCCTTTGTGCTGTGCCCTGCCCCCCAGCGCCACTCATAGCACGTCCCCGAGCCCCAGAGAGCCTGCTGACACCATCTGTTTTCTGTTTCTCACGGTCAAGGGCAGTTTCTGTTTCTCACGGTCAAGGGCAGTTTCTGTTGCTCGCAACCGAGATTCTGACTGCTACTGATAGGTACATTTAAATGGAATCCATGAAAATATCATCTCCCACCACAGCCCAAAGTAGGTCCTTCGTGGGTTGCAAGTTACACTAGAGAGATCTGGTGGGGTGGTGGGGTGGGCTTAACACATTGCCGTAAACTTAATCCAGATTAAACACTGGCCACATCGAGGAAACAAAACAAACAGCTGCATGTCACAGGTAAGCAAGCTCTTCTCCGCACCAAGGAAGGGAGGATAGCAGAAACTTCCTGCCCGTCTCTCAGAAGCTGCGAGGTGTGAGGCCCCCAAAGCATCGCTTCAGTGGTGCAAGGTGCCTCCTGCCAAGGGACAAGGCACGTGTTGGCTTTACTGAATTTGTGCATTCATCTAGAGCGGAGTGGGCAAACTAGCGCCTCCGAGCCACATCTGGCGGGATGCCTGTTTTTGTAAATAGAGCTTTATTGGGTCCCAGCCACGCATGTTGGATTACATGTTGTCTCTGGACGCCTTCCTGCTCCAGCGGCACAGTTGAGCAGCTGCCTCAGAGATGGCCCAGCTGCAAAGCTGAAAATATTTACTATCTGGCTCTTGACAGGAAAAAGGTTGCATCTTCTGACTGAAGGCAGAAATACCCAAACAGGCTGGGAGACAGTGTGGCCTGTCCTGCTGGGTATCCAGCCCCCAAATCACTCCCAATTTCTTCCTGTCCGTTATTTTATTTTAAAATGTTATTTTAGCTTCTAAACGAGTAGTAAATTTCACGTGCTTCAAATCAAAATTAAATCAATGCAAAAAGTCCTGTTTCTTTGCCTCCCCAACAAACACCGTGTTCCAAGAAATGCCAAGCCTGAAGAAGAATGAAGGTAGGTCTGAAATTTTCAGAGGCCCAAGCAAGACTCTGGAATCTCTCGGAGCAAATATAAACCTCCCCAGGCCAGAGCACTATTGTCTCTGAATGACTGTGACTTTCCAGAGATGCTGGGCCAGGGGATCGCCAGTTTTGGAGCGCTTTAAGAATCACTGTACGAGCTTGGTAACAATGCACATTGAGAGTGCATCTCAAGCCCAGATCTTGGTTTCCAACAGTTCCCAACAGGTAGAACCAGGGCTCTTTGGAGAAATGGCTCATTATAGGACAAAGGGCAGGAAGATACAAAATAATCCTGGAGCACCTTGTAGTGCCAGAAAGTAAGGAAATAATAAAAATAAAATAAAACAATAAAAAAGCAAAAACCGTGTGGGTAGCTCATGCCTGTAATCCCAGCACTTTGGGAGGCTGAGGCAGGAGGATCGCTTGAGCCCAGAAGTTTGAGACCAGCCTGGGCAGCATAGGGAGACCCTGTCTCTACAAAAAAATAAGTAAATAAACAAAATTAGCTGAGCATGGTGGTGTGCATCTGTGGTCCCAGCTACTCAGGAGGCTGAGGTGGGAGGCTAGCTTGAGCCAAAGAGGTCAAGGCTGCAGTGAGCTATGATCACACCAGCCTGGGTGACAGAGTGAGAGCCTGTTTCTAAAAAAAATAAAGGGCAGGGAGAGAAAAGAAATATCCGATCATCAATTCCTGTCCCAGAGTGGCAGAGAAGGGGAGGGGAAATTATCTGGGATTAAAAGATGGTTTAGATGACTGACGCAGTCATTTGCCAACAACTGTTTGAATACGTAGCAGAATCTCTTTTGATTTGTTTTATGATCAATGAGACCACTCTTGGAAGCAGTGATATTAAAATTTAGAATGGGTTGGGCGTGGTGGCTCACGCCTGTAATCCCAGCACTTTGGGAGGCCAAGGCCGGTGGATCACTTGATGTCAGGAGTTCAAGACCAGCCCGGCCAACATGGTAAAACCCCGTCTCTACTAAAAATACAAAAATTAGCCAGGTGTGGTGGCACGCACCAGTAATCCCAGCTACTCGGGAGGCTGAGGCAGGAGAATTGCTTGAACCCGGGAGGCAGAGGTTGCAGTAAGCCAAGATTGCACCATTGCTCTCCAGCCTGGGTGACAGAGCAAGACTCCGTCTCAAAATAAAATAAAACAAAACAAAATAAAATGTAGAACGGCCAGTGAGGCTTAGAGCAAGTGTCTACAACGCCAGGACAGGTCCTGGAGGCTCCTGGGCAGCCTGGCACTACCAGTTGGGTTGCTGGACTTGGGGAGGGAGGGGAGGAATCTCAGGAGAGGGGCTGGAGCAGGTGGGAAGGAGGGGCAGCACTTCATGGACTGAGGAGCTCAAGATGAAGGCTACTTACCAGCCATGACAGTCCTTCCTTTTTTTTTTTTTTTTTTTTTTTTTGAGACGGAGTCTCGCTCTGTCGCCCAGGCTGGAGTGCAGTGACGCGATCTCGGCTCACCGCAACCTCCGCCTCCCAGGTTCACGCCATTCTCCTGCCTCAGCCTCCCGAGTACCTGGGACTACAGGCGCCCGCCACCACGCCCGGCTAATTTTTTGTATTTTTAGTAGAGACGGGGTTTCACCGTGATAGCCAGGACGGTCTCGATCTCCTGACCTCGTGATCCGCCCTCCTTGGCCTCCCAAAGTGCTGGGATTTTAGGTGTGAGCCACCGCGCCTGGCCTAAGAGTCTATCAATGTGTTGGCAGCGGATGTAGCAGCCATGCTCCCAAGCTCAGCGCCAGCTCTGGGGAAAGCCAACCTCAGCTGAGGATACTTTGCGGCCCTGTCCTACAGCTCCCGTGACCCTCTTCCCTTTTGCTTTTCTGCACCCACTTTTCATCCTTCCCTTGTTCCCAAAGGCTGCTTTATTTCTTCTCTGGATGCAGAAGAAATGTCTTCACGAAGATATTAGGATCCAGTGCTGTCATTCCAGAGGTACTTGCATCTTAAAAGACAGTGTTGGCTGAGGCAGGAGAATCGCTTGAACCCGGGAGGCGGAGCTTGCAGTGAGTCAAGATTACACCACTGCACTCCAGCCTGGGCAACAGAGCGAGAATCCGTCTCAAAAAAAAAAAAAAAAAAAAAAAAGAGAGAATGTCCAGAAAGAGGCTTGGTCCTCAAACTCATGGTGAGTGATGGAATCTCAGACATGGGTGGGAACCTTCTCAACCCTCTTCCAAATATGCTGAGCAGGGGCCACCTGTGGGACCTGCCTTGCTCAGGACAATGCTGTTATCAACTGAAGTGCCACATTCCTGTACTCATGGTATCTGACTGATGGTCCCTCTGTTACATATTTTGAACATCATCAGGTACAAACCCTTGGCTTTTTCTTCCCCTCCCTTCCAGGACACCTAACAAAGGCCTTCAATGGGCTTCAGACTTGACATCAGGCGGCTTCAGGCTTGAAATGAATGAGATGGAAAAATAAGCTAACTCTCTCCAGACATTCCAGCTATATACGGCTAGTTGAAATCTGTTCTCTGGCTTTTCTACCACAAGGTATCCTCTTGGGCCTAAGAGACCAGCATTCAGCAAGTCGGCCACAGAACGCCCATAGCGATATGAAAACTCCTCTATCTCATTATGATCAAATAAATGCAAATTACAGTAATCATATATACCACTATTCTATTAGATAGTAAAAAATAAGGCCAGGCATAGTGGCTCACAGCTGTAATCTCAGCACTTTGGGAGGCAGAGGTGAGAGGATTGCTGAAGTCAAAAGTTTGAGACTAGCCTACACAAAAAAGTAAGACTCCACCTGTTAAAAAAAAAAAAAAAAAAAAAAAAGTAGGCCGGGTGCAGTGGCTCACGCCTGTAATCGCAGCACTTTGGGAGGCCGAGGCGGGCGGATCATGAGGTCAGGAGATCAAGACCATCCTGGCTAACATGGTGAAACCCCGTCTCTACTAACAATAAAAAAAAATTAGCCGGGCGTGGTGGCGGGCGCCTGTAGTCCCAGCTACTCGGGAGGCTGAGGAAGGAGAATGGCGTGAACCCGGGAGGCGGAGCTTGCAGTGAGCCGAGATCGCATCACTGCACTCCAGCCTGGGTGCAGAGCAAGACTCTGTCTCAAAAACAAAACAAAACAAAACAAACAAATAAACAACTCCTCCCCCCAAAAAAAACCATAGAAAAAAGAGTGGGGGAGGGGGAGGCTCCAAGCACACACAAGGAGCAAAGGCCTCCAGTTTTCCCAAGCTATTAGTCTCAAAATTCACAGAAGAGGATCCTTGCAATTTGTTTTGTTTTGTGATTTGTTCGAGCACCTTATAAAGTCCTTTTAGACTAGACTTTGGTGAAATGGACATGAGCCCAGGACAAATCCCCTCCCACCTCCCCTCAGTCTGATGAAATCTGGTGGAATTCCTTCCCTGACTCTTCATTTTCCAGCCAACCCTGACTGCCACCTTTCACAGGACAGGTCCGCGCGGACAGTTTGAGGCACCCTACCTCATCCTGACATCTAGTCCCACTTCATAGAGTAGGTGCTTGGATATTTTAGCCGGGCGCGGTGGCTCACGCCTGTAATCGCAGCACTTTGGGAGGCCTAGGTGGGTGGATCACTTGAGGCCAGGAGTTTGAGACCAGCCTGGCCAACATGGTGAAACCTCGTCTCTACTAAAACTACAAAAATTAGCTGGGTGTGGTGGCGTGCACCTTTAGTCCCAGCTACTCGGGAGGCTGAGGCGGGAGAATCACTGGAACCTGGGAGGCAGAGTTTGCTGTGAGCTGAGATCACACCACAGCACTCCAGCCTGGGTGACAGAGCAAGACCGTGTCTTCAAAAAAATTAAAAAAAAAAAAAAAGAGTGGGTGCTTGAATATTTCTTACATGCACTAATGGACAAAAGGGACATGGATCAGATGGGAAATGAATGTTTCCTGATGGCAACCAGTTGGTTTTCACTCACAAAGGCACACAGGAAATAACAAATTGCTCTTCAATATTCCTACTGAAATTTAGTTTTTCATATTCACTTTAAATTTGAAACAATTTAGAGTTTATTCCATAACAAAGCAGGGCTCCCCACATGTTGTTTACACAGGCATTCCTTTATTACGTTTTATTTCCAATCATCCCATAATCTAATTTCCTTAGATTCTGTCAGTGATCTGCCTTCTCCAGTTCCCAGTGGGAGATGAGCTTCACTTGGCTGTCCTCACAAACAAAACGGCACTCATGGCAACACTAGATTTAGGAAAACTTGTGCTTAGCAGAATGACAAGAAAGGTACTCTGTTATTTCTTTCTTACTAAAGCCCTAACTAAAATTTGTAAAAATAAGGACTATGTCTCCTTGCTGCCCTCAGCTGGTACCGAAAATATGGTGCTGTCTTGAAATAAGTTTGTTCAGTCCATGCTCACTCCAAATCCAGGGAAAAGTATCTAAAAAGTTCCCTATAGCTTGAAGGAGGTTAGGCTTCATTCATAAATGTGGAAAGTTTCCAGCAGCCCTACCCAATAAGATACATCAAATGAAGTCACCCTCATCTTCGTTCTTTTTATTTATTTATTTTTCATTCCTTTTTTTTTTTTTTTGAGACAGGGTCTTGCTCTGTCACCCAAGCTGGAGTGCAGTGGTGTGATCTCAGCTCACTGCAACCTCTGCCTCCCAGGTTCAAGTAATTCTTCTGCCTCAGCCTCCTGAGTAGCTGGGATTACAGGTGCATGCCACCACGCTCGGCTATTTTTTTTTTTTTTTTTTGTATTTTTGGAGAGATGGGGTTTTGCCATGTTGGCCAGGCTGGTCTTGAACTCCTGACCTCAGGTGATCCACCCACCTCGGCCTCCCAAAGTGCTAGGATTACAGGCGTGAGCCACTGCACCTGGCCCTTGTCTTCATTCTTCAGGAACAGAGGAAAGGACTGGAAAGAACAAGTCTTCTTGTTAAGGGAATGGTTGGGTTGAAGAAATCACAGGAGAAAGCCCTTGTCCGAGCAGGAATATCCACTTTATTTGGACTCCATGACACCGTTCCTATGCCCTTGACTAGATGTGAATGTATTATACATTGTTCTAGATTTGGGGGAAAAAAATCTCTTATGACATAAAATTGGTAGGGAATGGGTTTATCAGAAAGGGGATACAAAACATACCCTAAGCTCCAAATCATTCACTTCTTCTTGGGTAAAGAGCTAACTGAATGAAAGAAATTGATTTAACACTTAAATTAGACACCAACCACCTTTATTGGCTGCCACCCTAAATTAGTTTTCCTTAAAACAGTAATATTTCACTTTTACTGTTTTTTTTTTCCATTAAAGCAACACCATTGTGCTGCAAAACTAACTCTATGCAATTAAGTACCTGATACATGTTTTCTGCTTTTAACAAGTGATAGAAAAGGTTACATCATCTCATTAAGAAAACATTTTCCTTAGACATTTCGTTTGGTTTTGGTTTTCTGTTGAAAGAGTTATAGCAGATGGCTATTTCAAAGATTGGTTCTTTCTCCTTTCACAAGTCGAGCTCGAAACATCCAAATATCCTGGAAATAATATCAAACAGAGTGGGTTTATGGAACACTTCAATCTGCCCTCCATTAACCTTCAATTTCACCATAACACAAAATTGATTTCTAGCTTCTATGAAAGGTTACATAGGGAAAATAATCCCTGTAAGTTATATTCATTAGTAAACAAAACAACTCAACTTAAACTACTTACTCAACTCTTTTTTAAAAATTTTTTGGGGACACAGTCTCACCCCATTGCCCAGGCTGGAGTGCAGCGGCTCACTGCAACCTCTGCCTCCCGGGTTCAAGCGACTCTCCTGCCTCAGCCTCCCGAGTAGCTGGGATTACAGGTGTGCACCACCACGCCCAGCTAACTTTTTGTATTTTCAGTAGAGACAGGGTTTCGCTACACTGGCCAGACTGATCTCAAACTCCTGGCCTCAAGTGATCTGTCCGCCTTGGCCTTGCAAAGCCTCCCAAGTGCTGGGATTACAGGTATGAGCCACCACTCCTGGTCTACTTAACCGACTTCTAAAACAGTGTTAACTAAATTAAGTCAGTGGGTCCCCCAGCTGCTGTCAGTTCTGTTTTATTCAGGATATTTGTTGGTGCCAGCTAACATAACTGGGTCAATGTCATGTCGGGTTACAGAACAAACAGTTCACTGCCATTTTTCTGCATAATTTTTTTTTTTGAGACGGAATTTTGCTCTTGTTGCCCAGGCTGGAGTGCAATGGTACCATCTTGGCTCATTGCAACCTCTGCCTCCTGGGTTCAAATGATTCTCCTGCCTCAGCCTCCCAAGTAGCTAGGATTAGAGGCATGTGCCACCACACCCGGCTAATTTTATATTTTTAGTAGAGACGGGGTTTCACCATGTTGGTAAGGCTGGTCTCAAACTCCTGACCTCAGGTGATCCACCCGCCTCAAACACCCAAAGTGCTGGGATTACAGGAGTGAGCCACTGCACCTGGCCTGATGACTCTTATGTTACTTGTCTGAGCCTTTTTGAGTGTTCTACTCTTGATGAGATGATAATAGTGAACATGGTATCAAGGATTACTGCTTTGTTTGGTGGGTTTCTTCCCCCTCTGCCCTTAATAAAATAATTTAGATGTTCTTATTTCTTGGTTCTTGTTTATTTTTGAGCAAACAGCAAGGTATGGTGGAAAGAATAATTTTCAGATTTGACCTGACTCTAAAATCAAGCTTTGTCGCTTAGCTAGCTTAGATCAGCCTCTGGGATTTGTTTTCTTGTCATTGACAGCATGGAGTTTATACTGCCCCACCGGGTTTTGGTGAAGAAAATAAGAAAATGAATATGAATGTGCTTTTGTACTTTACAGAGAACTATGTAGCAGAGGTTAATATTGTTATTCTAAATATAACTTACAGAGTAATTAAACTAAATGTGGGAGGTATTCATTTAGCACAACCTTGACAAACCTCAAACATAATGTACATATATTTGTTCTCCCTTAAAATTTAGGATGTTAGCTCAAAGCTCCAGTTGACAAAATGTATAGGCATTTTAGGTACTGAACAAAAAGTGAGGAAGGACAAGAATTTCTAGGACCTGCAAATGCAAAATCAGAGCATTTTCAGAGATGCGACACATTTCCAGGTTCTAAAGGGAGAAGCAAGATTCCTTCTTTTGTTGTTGTTGAGACAGAGTCTCGCTCTGTCGCCCAGGCTGGAGTGCAGTGGCATGATCTCGGCTCACTGCAAGCTCCGCCTCCTGGGTTCACACCATTCTCCTGCCTCAGCCTCCCGAGTAGCTGGGACTACAGGCATGTGCCACCAGACCCAGCTAATTTTTGTATTTTTAGTAGAGACGGGGTTTCACCATGTTGGCCAGGAAGGTCTCGATCTCCTGACCTTGTGATCTGCCTGCTTTGGCCTCCCAAAGTGCTGGGATTACAGGCGTGAGCCACCTCGCCCAGCCATAAATACTCTATTCTATATTAATAAACATGGCCTATGATTGGATCTCAAACCTATAACTTTCCTTCTATCCCTTCAGAAGGCTTTTTTTTTGACACATGGTCTCACTCTGTCACCCAGGCTGGAGTGCAGTAGTGCAATCAGCTCACTGCAGCCTTGACCTCAAGCTCCAAGTGAGCCTTTCAACTCAGCCTTCGAGTAGCTGGGACTACAGCTATGCTCCACCCAACCTGACTAATTTTTATTTTTATTTCTTTTTTAGTAGAGATGGAGTCTCACTGTGTTTCTCAGGCTGGTCTCCAACTCCTGAGCTCAAGTGATTCTCCTGCTTTGGCTTCCCAAAGTGTTGGGATTTACAGGCATGAGCCACCATGCCCAGCCAGAAGGCAAGGTTTTGTCTTTGATTTTCTCTCATCTCAATCTGTAGTTTTGTTTTCCTTTACTGTCCTGTGTGAAACAGGACAGCCAGCACACCTCTGGACAGCCCCAAGACATAAAGAAGCAGCAGGAAGTTCTCAAGCCTCCTGCACGGGGGCACAAGTGTAAATGGAAATTCCATTGTCATTTTTGGTGGGGGCTCAGCGATGTCCCTAAAATGAATCTAAACCCAAGCACTATATACTGTCAAATAAACTAGGTATGAGAATTATGAAGCATCTGAAGAAAAGAAAAACCTGAGATTTTTACCTTGCTATTGTATACAAACATACCTTCAAGTTCACGCTATTTTCAGCTCCAAAGAATTTATGTGCTATTCCTACAACTTCCTTCTCGATGTTTTCTTGACTGGTGCCCTTCACGTCAATGTAGTGGCAATCGGCACTGGCGAAATGGCAGGAAATTGCCTGTGCAAAGTGAACAAATTGATATTGGAGAAAAACATCCCATGAATACCAGTGACCAAGCAGGGAGTCTTTCTTTTAGAAAGTCATTTATTTCACTCAGTATTTGATTTCTAAGTGGAAAGTCAGGTCCATTGCATCCTGTGTCAATCTCTTTGTAACTAAGCCTGTTTTTGTTTCCAGCTAGAAGTTAATTGAGAAATTTCAAAAGATCGTTAACCAGATGTGACATGTATTTTTGAAAGGTATATATGGGAGAGGGAATGGAATTATGTCAGTAAGAGGTATTTAGTTTTTTTTTTTTTTAGCATTTTATTTTCCTAATGAATGAATATCCCAAAGTCTTAAGAAGGACTGCATTCCACGGCAGTTTATCTCATAAGTTAGTTACCTGGTCCAATTTGGGATGAATTGTTATTTCAGTGGCAATAGATTATGAAAAGAACTAAAAATACCTTGAGATAGAAAATAATGCAGACACCTTCTCTCAAATCAAAAGGACATTTAAAAGCCAATACCAGTGACATATATTACCCCTCTTGCTTCCTTCTGAGGGTAAGGATGAAATTGCTTGGTTCTCCCTATTTTAGAAAAAGTTATAAACAGATCTAAGCTGCAAGGCAATCGTTAAAACTTACCTTTTTTGTCACAAGTGATCACACTTGTCAGAAAGACTTTCTACTTTGCCCCAAACAACAAATTTCTAGGGAGTGGAGTCACAAACTCCATTGCCTCTGTAAGCCCTGGTGCCATACGGCACTGTAACAGAGCCCAAGGCAAAGGGAAAACACGCACCCCTATATCTGTATCTTTATGAAATTATAGTAATATTTTCCCAGAACATTAAAGTCATTAAGCCTGGGCACGGTGGCTCATGCCTGTAATTCCAGTACTCTGGGAGGCCAAGGCAGGAGGATCACTTGAGGCCAGGAGTTCAAGACTCGCCTGGGCAACATAGCAAGACCATGTCTGTACAAAAAATGAAAAAATAAAATTAGCCAGGTGTGGTCATGCATGCCTGTAGTCCCAGCTACTTGAGAGGTTGAGGTGGGAGGATGGCTTGAGCCTCAGTGTTCCAAGATGCAGTGAGCTATGATTGCACCACTGCACTCCAGCCTGGGCAAAAGAGCAAGATGCTGTCTCAAATAAATATATAAACAAATAATAAAATGTTTTAAAATAAAAGCATTAAAAAACATTGGGCCAGGCGAGATGGCTCACATCTGTCATCCTAGCATTTTGGGAGGCCAAGGTGAGACGATCACTCAAGGCCAGGAGTTCGAGACCAGATTGGCCAACCTGGGGAAACCCCATCTCTACTAAAAAATACAAAAATTAGCTGGGCATAGTGGCGTGTGCCTGTAGTCTCAGCTACTCACGAGGCTGAGGCAGGAGAATTGCTTGAACCTGGGAGGCCAAGGTTGCAGTCAGCTGAGATTGCATCACTGCAATCCAGCCTGGGCAACAGAGTGAGACTCCACCTCAAAAAAAAAAAAAAAAGAAAAAAGGAAAATTGCCAAGTCTATATATTAAAACCCACAACATGATTTGTGTCGTTGTGCCTGCACCTCGCTACTTGCACAGCTCTGAAGGTTGTGCTAGTGTGGGGTCCAATAGTGTCTTTTATTTAAACTTTTGGCATTGTGCGCAGCCAATACATTGGGTATTTTGCATTAATTTTGATTTTTTTAAATTTCGCATTAAAATGTTACTAAACTCGATTGCAGAGTCTTTTTTTGGCATCCCCTTACATTTTACCCCTGGAGAGAGTGCCCCAACTTGTCCCACCCTAATCCTGACCCTGATGAGGCTGGTGGAAATATGAATGAATGGAAGACGAAATTTGGCCCCTAACCCATGGCCTCAGGAGACAACAGTGATTTTTTCTTTTTTAGTAGAAGTGGGGTCTCGCCATGTTGCCCAGACTGGTCTAGAGCTCTTGGTCCCAAGTGATCCTCCCGCCTCAGCCTCCGGAAGTGCTGGAATTACAGGCATGAGCCACTGCACCTGGCTTTCATAATCAATTTTTTTTTTTTTTTTTGAGACGGAGTCTCGCTGTCGCCCAGGCTGGAGTGCAGTGGCGCGATCTCGGCTCACTGCAGACTCCACCCCCTGGGGTTCACGCCATTCTCCTGCCTCAGCCTCCCGAGTAGCTGGGACTACAGGCGCCCGCCACCTCGCCCAGCTAATTTTTTGTATTTTTAGTAGAGATGGGGTTTCACTGTGTTAGCCAGGATAGTCTCGATCTCCTGACCTCGTGATCCACCCGCCTTGGCCTCCCAAAGTGCTGGGATTATAGGCATGAGCCACCGCGCCCGGCCCATAATCAATATTGACAAGGTTAGGATCCTGAGGTCACCTGGCTTCTTACTGATAAGAGCACAGAAAGCCCAAGGTAAGCAAATATATTTCCTGGTAAATAAACTGGACTAAAGTCCAGGTTGGTTAAAAGCCACAAATCTTTAAAATGTTAATGCAATTTAATTAAAATTTTATTCAATTAATTTGAATTCAATGAATTGAATACAATTTTTGTTTCTAACCCACACTTCTGCAGCAGGTGCAGCAATGTGAATGCTTACCTTCCGGAATCCCTGGGTTTTATTCTGACCAGATCCGTGGATGAGCAAAGGATGGAAGAAAACAGTGTCGCCCTTCTCCATCACCAGGTGCACCCGGGCCTTGTTTTCCTCGTAGTCCTGGATCCCGTGGAACATTTTGTTAACTCCCCCCTAGAACAAGAGGCAAGTGAAGTCTACATTTGAGGGAGTACCATAATTAAAAACATTGTCAATGGTTCATCAGGGAAAGCAAACATCAGGGAAAGAAAGCATTTCTCTCTCCCAAGAGAAATAAATGTCTAAATTAAATGCTTACATTTTTTTCAGTATACAAAAGCCTCTCAGATATCTGGTTTTTAAGAGTCACATTTTGGCCGGGCATGGTGGTTCATGCCTGTAATCCCATCTCTTTGGGAGGCCAAGTTGGGAGAATTGCTTATGCTCAGGAGTTTGAGATCAGCCTGGGCAACATGGCAAAACCCCATCTCTACAAAAACTGCAAAAATTAGCTGGGCGTGGTGGTGCCAGCCTGTGGTCCCAGCTACTCAGGAGGCTGAGGTGGGAGGATCGATTGAGCCGGGAGGGGGAGGTTCCAGTGAGCCATGATCACACCACTGCCCTCCAGCCTGGACAACAGAGCAAGACTCTGTCTCGAAAAATAATGGTAATAAAAAAAAAGAAGTCACATGTTGATATTAAAATCACTGATTTTTTGGAGGAAATGAACAGTGTGGAATTTCCACCTGCCCTTCATGACTGCATTATACATGAAGATCTAGCTTAGCTTTGCCTTTTGTGGTTAATGCAGGCAACCACCTATCTCTTGGGCATTTCCAGCCTGAAACTGTGAGTGTTCCCAGTGTGTTCTCCTCCTCGCCCAGAACTTTAAATAAATCCTTCATCTCTTACTCAGGAGTGTCTCTGAGAAGCTATTTCCCCAAAATAGGGGGGAGAAAATGCTCAATTTTTCTGAGCTCAAAGGCACTTATGTTACATCCAGAATAATGAAAGAATAGTAAATTAAAACACTGTGTTTGTTTGTAACTATTTCCCAAATTAGTTGCTACTTTAGGTAATGCGGTTATGTCTTTATTAAAGAAATTGACATGAGAAGCACCTTAGGAGTCAGGGTAAGGGAAGCAGCCCATTCCTCTTCCTAAGAGCATCCCCAGTTCCTTCTGGGAATGACGACATCCCTCTTAGACAGTGCTGAGACTCTGACCCAGAGCCCTTCTCTCCTGGCCAGGGTGAATGTGTGACCCACACTAAGCTAATCATACCTCCCACTCTGCATCTGAGCAGGGTATCTGAGACTCCACACGCTCTGGAAGCCCTGCAAACTTTTCCCTTTGCCTTCTGTCAGCCAAAGCCCACTGCAGTTGCATGCACCAAACTTTAAACCTTGGCTTCACTGATGAGTTTCACATTAAATGGTTTTATATCAGGATCCAGACACTCACATATTTTCATTTGACACTAATTATTGGTGCAAGAAATCTGAGACGTTCTATTATTATTATTATTGTTATTACTGAGATGGAGTCTTGCTCTGTCGCCCAGGCTGGAGTGCAGTGGTGCGATCTCAGCTCACTGCAACCTCCATCTCCCAGGTTCAGGCAATTCTCCTACCTCAGCCTCCCGAATAGCTGGGAGTACAGGCACACACCACCATGCCTGGCTAATTTTTGTATTTTTAGTAGAAATAGGGCTTCACTATCTTGGCCATGCTGGTCTCAAACTCCTGACCTCAAGTGATCCACCCGCCACGGCCTCCCAAAGTGTTAAGATTATAGGCGTGAGCCACTGTGTCCAGACGAGTTAGGAGTTCCTAAAACCATGTTCCTCATTTCCTATCGAACTACAACTCATTCTCCCTGCTTTAACAATGGGGGCTCTTTCCATTCGCAGCATCATGGGATTCCAGGATCTTTTCTTTTCTTTTTTTTTTTTTTTTGAGATGGAGTCTTGCTTTGTTGCCCAGGCTGGAATGCAGTGGCGCGATCTCAGCTCACTGCAAACTCCACCTCCTGGGTTCAAGCTATTCTCCTGCCTCAGCCTCCTGAGTAGCTGGGACTACAGGCGCACGCCACCACACCAGGCTGATTTTGTATTTTTAGTAGAGACAGGGTTGCTCCATGTTGGTCAGGCTGGTCTCGAACTCCTGACCTCAAGTGATCCGCCCACCTCAGCCTCCCTAAGTGCTAGGATTACAGGCATGAGCCACTGCGCCCAGCCCAGGATCTTTTCTTTTTCTTTTGATACGGGAACTTGCTCTGTCACCCAGGCTGGAGTGCAGTGGCACCAACATAGCCCACTGCAGCCTCGAATTCCTGGGCTCAAGTAATCCTCCTGCCTCAGCCTCTGGAATAGCTGGGACTACATGCATGCGCCACCATGCCCAGCTAATTATTATTATTATTATTTTTAGAAATGAGACCTCACCGTGTTGCCCAGGCTGGTCCTGAACTCCTGGGCTCAAGCGATCCTCCCACTTTGGCTCCCACAGGGTCTTTTCACCTTAGACCTAACGCGTTAATAGTCATCTCTCTGGTTTCTTTGCTTCTAGATGCCTATACCTCTAACGCGTCCTGCACCAGAACGTGACATTACTGTCCTTGAAGAGCCGATTTGATCCCATCACTCATGAGCTCAAATGCATTTAACATTTCCAAGCATCAGCAGCTGAATGGATGAACAAACCATGGTTCACGGTGCAGCCATGCAATGGAATACTACTCAGCAAGGGAAGGGAAAGAACTACTGTTGGCCAGGCGCGGTGAGCCCAGCACTTTGGGAGGCCGAGGCAGGCAGATCACGAAGTCAGGAGATCGAGACCATCCTGGCCAACATAGTGAAAACTCGTCTCTACTAAAAATATAAAAATTAGCTGAGCATGGTGGCTTGTGCCTGTAGTCCCAGCTACTCGGGAGGCTGAGGCAGGAAAATTGCTGGAACAAGGGAGTCGGAGGTTGCAGTGAGCCAAGATCGTGCCACTGCACTCCAGCCTGGTGACAGAGTGAGACTCTGTCTCAAAAAAAAAAAAAAAAACAACAAAAAACTACTATCATACACAACAGCATCAATGAACCTCAAAATCACTACACTGAGTGAAGGAAGCCAGAACGGGACAAAAAAATCTATACTATGTGATTACATGTCTATGACATTTTAGAAAATGCAAACTAACCTGCAGTAACAGAAAGCAGCTCAGTGGTTGCCTAGAGCAGGGAGAAGGATGGAGTATCTTGATTGTGGTGATGATTTCACAGGTATGTGTGTGTGGAAAATGATCAAATTATACATGCAAAATATGTACAATTTACATGACAATTATACCTCAATGAAACTGTTTATTTGTTTAATTGTTTGTTTTTTAATTAAAAGCTCTTCAGCCAGGTGTGGTGGCTCACGCCTGTAATCCTAGCACTTTGGGAGGCAGAGGTGGGCGGATCACGAGTTAAAGAGATCAGGACCATCCTGGCCAACATAGTGAAATCCCGTCTCTACTAAAAATACAAAAATTAGCTGGGTGTGGTGGTGCGCGCCTATAATCCCAGCTACTCGGGAGTCTGAGGCAGGAGAATCACCTGAACCCAGGAGGCAGAGGTTGCAGTGAGCCGAGAACGTGCCATTACACTCTAGCCTGGTGACAGAGTGAGACTCCTCAAAAACAAAACAAAACAAAACACAACAAAAAAACAAAAAGGGTCTTCGATCTTCCTAAAAGTTTGAACTAAAAAGTTCCCATTCTTCCCCCAAATAAACTGCAGACTTGTTAGTAAAACAGTCTTTTCTAATCTGGTCCTAATGTACATTTTTGGGCTCACCTCCTCTGCTGCTCCCCAAAATACACCCCCAGCGCCCAGCCCATCTAGACTGCAAGCTCCCTGGGTCTTTCCTGTTCTTTGGTCAAGTTCAGGCTTGCCCTTGACCTTGTGCCTTCCTATATCGACTCTTCCCTATGGGACATTGTACACTGTCCTGCAAGGCTCAGGTCAGACACCAGCCTCCCCAGATCCTTTGCTGGTCTCTGCAGTTGCAAGGAGACAATCTCTCCTTCCTTACTCTGAGAGCCATCAGTTAGTGAGTAAGACTGACTTGGTGTCTACCACACACATCTGGGGTCGAAGGGTTTATGTCTTACCTCTGCAGCTAGGACTTACAATCTCGGATCCTATACAGTACCTACCCAAGCTCCCCACCTTGGCTGGCTTTCAAACACGTGTTAAGGGCAGGTACAGTGGCTCATGCCTTTAATCCCAGCACTTAGGGAGGCCGAGGTGAACAGATCACCTGAGGTCAGGAGTTCAAGACCAGCCTGGCCAACATGGCAAAACCCTGTCTTTACTAAAACCACAAAAATTAGCCGGGCGTGGTGGTGCACACCCGTAGTCCCAGCTACTAGGGCGACTGAGGCGGGAGGATGGCTTGAACCTGGGAGTTGGAGGTTGCAGTGAGTTGAGCAAGACCCTGTCTCAAAAACAAACAAACAAAAAAAGTGTTGAAAATAGGTGTGATGAATGTTTTCTCTGACATCCTTGAACTTTCTCTGATCCTCACTGCAAATCTTAGGACAATGTTTTGCTCAGAAAGGAAATGCCATCTCATTTGTAAACTCTTTAGAGGTACTGATGTGAAACAGAAACTGCGAAGGAGATTCGGATCAAGACTCAGCCGCCGGGCAGACCTACCTCCCACTTGGGGTAATCGTGGGGCTTCAGGGAGCCCTTGTGTGTGCCTGGGAGCACAACCAGACAGCCGTTGTTCCGGCTGATGTGCTCCATCGCCGTCCAGGCGCAAACGATGAGATCGCTGGGCCTGAAGGGGAAATAGTGCAGGTCCTGGTGCAGGGGGTGACGGGACGTCTTCTTGCCTGAAAAGAAAACCTGCTACTAAAGGATACTCGAGGCCGAGTGCAGTGGCTCACGCCTGTAACCCCAGCACTTTGGGATATAAAAATATATCCCAAAGTGGGAGGCTGAGGCAGATGGATGGCTTGAGCCTGGGAGTTCAAAACCATCCCGGGAAACACAGTGAGACTCCGTTTCTACAGAAAACAAAACAACAAAACAAAACAAAACAACAAAAACAACTAGCCGGGTGTGGTGGCATGCACCTGTAGTCACAGCTACTTGGGAGGCTGAGGTGGGAGGATCACCTGAGCCTGGAGGTCGAGGCTGCAGTGAGCTATGATTGCACTGCTGCATTACAGCCTGGGTGACAGAGAGCGAGTCCCTGTCCCCCACCCCCAACCAAAAAAAAAAAAAAAAAAAAAAAAAAGCTGGTCTCAGAATTCTTATCCTTTGCCTGAAAAAACAATGACCTGTCCCCAGAAGAACCAAACAAATGAAATAATGCTAGAGAAAATCAGCCCCGGAGAGATAAACACCAAATTGGAAATCAACACACTGGCTCCACATCTTCAAATCCCGCACTCCCTTCTTCCGGGTTGCTGGTAGCTAAGTACTTATGCACACTATTTTCCAGCAAGCGGTATAACATCCTCATCTCTGTTGTGCTTTATTCTTTGTTGTTATTGTTTTTTGAGACGGAGTCTTGTTCTGCTGCCCAGGCTGGAGTGCAGTGACGCGATCTCGGCTCACTGCAAGCTCCGCCTCCCAGGTTCACGCCATTCTCCTGCCTCAGCCTCCCGAGTAGCTGGGACTACAGGCGCCCGCCACCACGCCCGGCTAATTTTTTGTATTTTTAGTAGAGACGGGGTTTCACTGTGTTAGCCAGGATGGTCTTGATCTCCTGACCTCGTGATCCGCCCGCCTCGGCCTCCCAAAGTGCTGGGATTCCAGGCGTGAGCCACCACGCCCGGCCTTGTGCTTTATTCTTTTGTGACCCTGGATTGGGCACAGTACCTAGCATGCAGTAATGCATGTTCAAAAACCAGTTGCATTAATTACATTGAAGAGAGTGATATGGAGTCAAGTTTGAAATCCCCTTTGAAGTGGCTGATGTCAAAAAAAGTTCTAAGCCACGTGTAGTGGCTCACACCTGTAATCCCAGCACCTTGGGAGGCTGAGGCAGGCAGCTCTCTTGAGGTCAGGAATTTGAGACCAGCCTGGCCAACATGATGAAACCTCGTCTCTACAAAAATACAAAAATTAACTGGGCATGGTGGTGCACACCAGTACTCCCAGCTACTTGGAAGGCTGAGGGCTGAGGCAGGAGAATCGCTTGAACCCAGGAGGCAGCAGGTTGCAGTGAGTCAAGATCGCACCACTGCACTCCAGCCTAGGCGACAGAGTGAGACTCTGTCTCAAAAAAAAAAAAAAAAGAAAAGAAAAAGAAAAAAAAACACACAAAACAGGACGGGCACGGTGGCTCACGCCGGTAATCCCAGCACTTTGGGAGGCTGAGCCGGGTAGATTGCCTGAGGTCAGGAGTTCGAGACCAGCCTGACCAACATGGTGAAACCCTGTCTCTACTAAAAATACCAAAAAAAAAAAAAAAAAAAAAAAAAAAAAATTAGCTGGGTGTGGTGGTGGGCACCTGTAATCCCAGCTATTCAGGAGGATGAGGCAGGAGAATCACTCAAACCCCAGAGGCAGAGGTTGCAGTAAGCCGAGATTGAGCCACTGCACTCCAGCCTGGGCAACAGAGCAAGACTCCATTTCAAAAAAAATAAAAATAAAAAAAGTTATCTAAGAGGTCCTCACCCCCCACAACTATAGTCATTCCATGTCCAGTCGGAGTGCCCATGACCACACTGACATTTTCCCCTGGTTTGCTCCCTGAGTGTGGCTCCCGAACACCTGCTCTCCTCAAGGAGGGAGAGACCTGGTAATGCTAAGCTGCCTTCTATCACATAAACCCCTCCTGCAGATCAGAAGGAAGAAAAGGCAGAAAGGATAGGGGGACTCTCTCATGGCTGATTTTTACTGCAGGCACAGAGGAATTTCCCAGTGTAGTCCAAGTGATCTGCACTACAATCTCTGGACTTGAACTCCTGGGCTCCAGCGATCCTCCCCCCGCAGCCTCCTGAGTAGTTGGGACCACAGGTGCACATCCACGCCCAGCTTGAGGAAGGTTATTAAAATACAGAAACCTGGGTTATATTTCTCAATCAGTCTGTCTGCCAATGAGGTCTTAGATTCTACATTTTAGCAAGCACAAGACATTTTAAAGACAACTATAGGCTGGGCGCGGTGGCTCACACCTGTAATCCCAGCACTTTGGGAGGCCAAGGCAGGTGGATCATCTGAAGTCAGGAGTTCGAGACCAGCCTGACCAACATGGCGAAACCCTGTCTCTACTAAAAGTACAAAAATTAGCCAGGCTTGGTGGCACATGCCTGTAATCCCAGTTACTTGGGAGACTGAGGCAGGAGAATCAGGAATTGTTTGAACCTGGGAGGTGGGGGTTGCAGTGAGCCAAGATCGCGCTATCGCACTCCAGCCTGGGCAACAAGAGCAAAACTCCATCTCAAAAAAAAAAAAAAAAAAAAAAAAGACCACTATAGTTTGTGACTCATAGTAACAATTTTAATTGTGTTAGTAATAATAATGTCTTCCTATCAGGAATGCAAGAATCCACACTATCACAGCTAAAAAGAGCTGATCAAGCTTAGAGACGTCGAATGGCAGGAACCTTTGATATATGAACAGTTATGTCGGTTAAACTGCATTTTTGGGGAGCCAGTCATCTGAAAATTCAGCAACAGTCCTACAGTTAATATCTGAAATAATTACCACATTTCACTGTTGTTATAGTGTAAGTTATTTTAAGACTTCCTTATCCAAAGTTTGACAGTTGTACACATGATTACAGTTAGACATCAGCTATTTTATTATTTTGTTTTGTTTTGTTTTATTTATTATGTAGAGATAGGGTCTCACTGTGTCACGCAGGCTGGAGAGCATGCCATTATAGGTTCACTGCAGCCTTCAACTCCTGGGCTCAAGTGATCCTCCCACCTCAGCCTTCCAATAGCAGGGACTACAAGTGCATACCACCATGCCTGGATATTTTTAAATTTTATTTTTAGAGACAGAGCCTCACTATGTTGCCCAGGCCACTCTCAAACTCCTGGCCTCAGAGATCTTCCTCCCTTGGTCTCCTAAAATGCTGGGATTACAGGCATGAGTTACTGCACCCAGCCAACCTTACACATTTTAATGAAACCATTTTTTTTTCTTCTCCCTTACAATTACCAGAATCTGGAGGTTTGTTTATCAACATTGTGTGCATGGCCATAATATTAGGTCCAGTGAAGCACTCCACATATTTCAGAATCTAAGAAAGCAAAAAAAAAACAAAAACAAACCTTGTGGGAAATCAGAAGTATTGACAACTGGTACAAAGTACAGTAGCTATCCACACAAGAACCAAGAAGGCAATAGTTTAAGAACCAAGCGGTATTTCACAACATTGCAAACAAAGCATGAAAAACCCAGCCATTGGAAATCATTCTAAATCTATAACACGGAATGAAATGGGCTTTTTCTGAGCTAGCTGGGAATGAAACCATTTTTTCTCTACAAGAAACATAGGAGTTCCGATGAGATATTAATATAGCTTTCTTGTCAACCCAAGCAACAGAAGGTTGCTCAGTGGGAGGGCAGTTTCCTCTTCCTCATTGGAGCCTCTGCATACGAAGAGTCCCATACAATTCACAGCTGTCATGAATAGCCCGGAAGAAAGCAGAATGGTGGCTTGGAGGACATTTGACAATCGGGGACGCTTGGCACTTGACAACTCATTACTGAGATCTGGGAACCAGGAGGTGACGGGAAATGGGGAAGCAAGAGTGAACAAGCAAAGCAGGTCCCAGGAGTTAGATGAAAAATGTTAACCCAGTAATGACATGGGTCAGAGTGGCCGAGGGACACTGCATTATGAAGAAAAGGCTAACATGGGGAACCGTGACAGGGAGAGCTGGTTTAGTCGTGGGGCCTGGGAGCTGGGCTGCCGCTACCTTGTGTACAGAACCCAGCAACGGAGAGGGAAAAAGCAGAAAGGGCTCAACACTGAGGTCGGGTGCGTTAGCGCACACCTGTAATCCTAGCACTTTGGGTGGCCGAGGCGGGCGGATCACTTGAGGTCAGGAGTTCAAAACCAGCTTGGCCAACATGGCAAAACCATATCTCTACTAAAAATACAAAAATTCGCCGGGCATGGTGGCACACGTCGGTAATCCCAGCTACTTGGGAAGCTGAGGCAGGAGAATCACTTGAACCCAGGAGGCAGAGGTTGCAGTGAGCTGAGATCATACCACTGCAGTCCAGCCTGGGCAACAAGAGTGAGACTCTGTCTCAAAAAAAAAAAAAAAAAAGAAGAAGAAGAAGAAAATAAAACAACCCATGATATTCAAATTTTGATTCTGCAAAAAAAAGACTCCAAAAAATAAGCCACCTTCTACTGCTTCCTCACTTTTTGATCTCTTGTGTATAAGGAATATTGGCAATTTGAGTATGAAACCCTGGAAAGGTTATTAAAAGCCTAGCAGTCAGGCACACACTTGCTTTTTATAAAGCCTGGTATTTTTTTGTATTCATCTAGGCTGGGATTTTCTAAATGCCAGCCATTCAAGAGCCATCCTCACAACTTCTGACATAACTTGTACTGTTATTTAGCCAATGATTTCCCTACCCTTAGTTAGCTCACTTGTTTTTTGTTTTTTGTTTTTGTTTTTGTTTTTTTTGAGATGGAGTCTCGCTCTGTTGCCCAGGCTAGGTGCAATGACATGATCTCGGCTCACTGCAACCTCTGCCTCCCGGGTTTAAGCGATTCTCCTGCCTCAGCCTACTGAGTAGTTGGGATTACAGGCGCCCGCCACCATGCCCAGCTAATTTTTGTATTTTTAGTAGAGACTGGGTTTCACCATGTGTCTCAGGCTGGTCTCAAACTTCTGACCTCGTGATCTGCCCACCTCGGCCTCCCAAAGTGCTGGGATTACAGGCATGAGCCACCGCGCCCGGCAGTTAGCTCACTTCTCTTATTCAATCTTTGTTTTTTTCTTTTTTTCCAATATAGACAATGGTCTCACTATGTTGCCAGACTGGTCTTGAACACCTGGCCTCAAGTGATTCTCCTGTTTCAGCCTTCCAAAGTGCCACTTCGCCTGGCCTTTTTATTTAATCTTGTCCTAATTAACAACATTTTTGAAATCATGAGTTTGGTAGACTGTTGAGTTTTTTTCCAATACATTTAAAAATAAATATCTATTAAAATAATTTATACCTCCTAAAATCATGGCATAGACCACCAGATACTGGTCCCATTCTTCAGAAATGTAGGACACTGGCCAGGCGCAGTGACTCATGCCTGTAATCCCAGCACTTTGGGAGGCCGAGGTGGGTGGATCACGAGGTCAGAAGTTCGAGACCAGCCTGAGCAATATGGTGAAACCCTTTCTCTACTAAAAATACAAAAATTAGCCAGGTGTGGTGGCAGGCACCTGTAAACCTAGCTACTTGGGAGGCTGGGGCAGGATAATCACTTGAACCTGGGAGGAAGAGGTTGCAGTGAGCCGAGATCGCACCACTGCACTCCAGCGTGGGCAACAGAGCGAGACTCTGTCTCCAGAAAAGAAAACAAAATAAAACCCACTGATTTTACTCAATTCAACTCCTTTCCATATCCAGCTCTAAGAGCAGTGGTTCCTGGGATCAAGCGATCCACCTGCCTCAGCCTCCCACAGTGCTCGGATTACAGGAGTGAGCCACTGCGCCCGGCCAAATCAGCGGGTTTTACAGGCAGACATACACACTGGCAATTAAGCCGACGCAAAGCAAGGGTGGTCTCTGACCTCGGGGAGAGTGCAGTATCTGAAGAGCTCCTTATCTTCCTGGAAATCCTGGACCTTCGTGATCATCTTCTCACTTGGAGCATATTCGGATTTCGAAATGGTCACATCTCTCATTACTGTTAATCCTAATGGTTTCACCTCCTTTCTGCAGATTTTTTCAAACTCATTCCTAGAAAATTTAATTTGCAAATGATGTCGTTACCGCTGGCTCCAAGCACCTGCCCTGCCCTCCTCTGTGGAAAGGGTTGCAGACTTGAGGGGTGGTTTCTCTGCACTAAGTTGGCCTCCAGCTTGAGGTAGAATAATTCCAATGAAAGGGAGGAGAAACTGTCTGGCTAGAATCCATTCCCAGAATTAAATTATTCCCTAGTTTAGCATACCAGTAGGGAAGTCTTTTTATAATTTGGTTACATTGTAATAATAATAACAGCAAACATTTCTGTAACACTTACCATGTGCCCAGCTCTCTTCAAAGTGGTTTCCATATATTTCACCGTATTTAGTCCTAATAACAACACTAGGACATAAGTGCTATTATTATCCCCATTTTACAGATGAGGAAACAGAGGCATGGGATGTGAAGTAAATTGCCCCAGGACACATGATATTAAGTGGTGGAGCTGAGACTGAAGCCCAGGCATGGTGGCTCCCGACTGTAATCCCAGCAACTCAGGAGGGTGAGGCCAGGAGTTCAAGACCAGCCTGGGCAACATAGTGAGACTCCCTGTCTCTAAAAACAAAGAAATAAAAAATTAGCTGGGTATGGTGGTGCACAACTGTGGTCCCAGCTACTCAGGAGGCTGAGGCAAGAGGATTGCTTGAGCCCAGGAACTTGAGGCCGCAGTAAGCTATGATCGCACCACTGCACTCAGCCTACACAACAGAGTGAGAACCTTTCTCTATAAAAAATAAAAAGCCAGTCTGGCACCAGAGCCCATGCTTCTAAACACTTCCCAACAAACCAAATCATTAAAAAACATCTGTAAAGCCAGGAGCGAATCCACCTTGTATTCTCATTACATGCACACAATACATACTATTGTAAAATAACAAATAGTGTTACTGTACCGAAAGCGTTGAATATCGGCATCAGGTACAAGATTTTTGATTACTAGAAACCCATTTTCTTCATAAAATTTTCTCTGTTCCAGGGTTAGAACGTTATTATCCAGAGTATACCTAAAGGAGAAAAAGAATCCCAAAATAAGTTACATTTTTAAATTACAGGCTAGGCACAATGGCTCACACCTCTAATACTAGCACTTTAGCGGGCCGAGGCAAGTGGATCACTTGAGGTCAGGAGTTTGAGACTAGCCCAGGCAACATGATGAAACCCTGTCTCTACAAAAAATACTGGTTGTGCCACTCCACTCCAGCATGGGCGACAGAGTGAGACCCTGTCTCAAAAAAAAAAAAAAAATTTAAATTACATCCTAAAAATATGTATCAAGAACCTGAGGCTAGGCGTGGGGGCTCATGCCTATAATCCCAGCACTTTGGGAGGCCGAGGCAGGTGGATCGCCTGAGGTCAGGAGTCTGAGACGAACCTGACCAACATGGTGAAACCCCATGTTTACTGAAAACACAAAGTTTAGCCAGGCATGGTAGTGGGCACCTGTAATCCCAGCTACCCGGGAGGTTGAGGCAGGAAAATCGCTTGAACTTGGGAGGCGGAGGTTGCAGTGAGCTCTGATCATGGCACTGCACTCCAGCCTGGGCGACAGAGCCAGACTCCGTCTCAAAAAACAAAAACAAAGACAAAAACAAGAACCTAGGAAACGTTCATGCTCTTCAATTCAGCATTTCTAAGACCAAGGAAATAATCTGAAAACTTACGCTTTATGTCACCAAAACAAGTGCATTAGTGGGCCGGGCACAGTGGCTCATGCCTGTAATCCCAGCTTTTTGGGAGGCTGAGGCAGGTGGATCACCTGAGGTCGGGAGTTCGAGACCAGCCTGACTCACATGATGAAACCCCATCTCTACTAAAAATACAAAAATTAGCGTGCCTGTAATCCCAGCTACTCAAGAGGATGAGGCAGGAGAATCGCTAGAACCTGTGGGGGTGGAGATTGCAGTGAGCCAGGATTGCACCAGTGCACTCCAGCCTGGGTGACAGAGCAAGGCTCCATCTCAGAAAAAAAAAAAAAAAAAAAAGTGCATTAGTGGAAGAAAAATTAACTAGTGACACTATGTTCACTCAGTGGAATATGACTCAGACATTAAAAATTAAGGCCATATAATAGTATGGATGGCGGGCACAGTGGCTCATGCCTGTAATCCTAGCTTTGGGAGGCTGAGGTGGGCGGATCACGAGGTCAGATCGGGACCATCCTGGCTAACACGGTGAAACCCGCCTCTACTAAAAATGCAAAAAATTAGCCCGGCATGGTGTCTGGCGCCTGTAGTCCAGCTACTGGAGAGGCTGAGGCAGGAGAATGGCGTGAACCCGGGAGGCGGAGCTTGCAGTGAAGCAAGATGGCACCACTGCACTCCAGCCTGGGCGACAGAGCCAGACTCGGTCTCAAAATAAAATAAAATATAATAAAATATAATAAAATAAAAAATAGTATGGACAATGCTTATTATAATAAAATATTATTACAATTATGTAAAACCAAGACACTATATGAAAAAAAGAAAAGCCTGCAAAGAAATACACCAAAGCAATTTTTAACAGTGATTGCCTTTAGAAATGGAATTAGGGATGATTTTTTAAAATTCCTTCTATTTCTCTGATGTTTCTGTAATGAATACATATGATTTTTCAGATGGGAAACAAATTCAATAAATTGTATATTTTTAACTGTCCAGTTGATGCATTCCAAGAAGGTAAAGTAACAAAATCCAAATAAATGTACAGCATACCCATAAACTCAAATCACCCAACCTATTCCTTAAGATCGGAATTGTGGTTGTATGAGAATATTTAGGAAGGTCAAGATCTTCCCCTTTAAAGGTGATTTAAGATAAACCAAAGATGCTAGCTAATATGTCCATATAACCAAATACAAGCTAATTTGTTTTGTTTTGTTTTGTTTTTTGAGATGGAGTCTGGCTCTATCACCCAGGCTGGAGTTCAGTGGCGTGATCTCAGCTCACTGCAACCTTGACTTCCAAGGTTCAAGCGATTCTCCCACTTCAGCCTCCTGAGTAGCTGGGATTATAGGTGCACACCACCATGCCCAGCTAATTTTTGTATTTTTTCATTTTGTAGAGGTGGGGTTTGTAGAGATGTTGGCCAGGCTGGTCTCGAACTCCTGACCTCAAGTGATCCACCTGCCTTGGCCTCCCAAAGTGCTGGGATTACAGGCATGAGCCACGGTGCCCGGCCACAAGTTAATTTAAATGAGATGTTTAACTGAATTTTTAAAAGTCAGATTATAAGGCTGGTGTGATGGCTCAGGCTGCAATCCCAGCACTTTGGGAGGCCAAGGCAGGAGGATTGCTTTAGCCCAGGAGTTCAACACCAGCCTGGGCAACATAGGAAGGGCCCGTCTCTATTAAAAATAAATAAATAAATGTCGGATTATGTATTTTCTGGTATTTTTCCTTCTTTCTGAATCTTAAAATACATACAGAAAATTAGTCGGTCTCCAAAATTTTCCACAAGTGCACTAATTAGAATAAGTCCTGGAAACAGAGGATTTGTATAATAAAATTCTAATCAGGTAACATATTATGTGGTATATCTTCATTACCACTCAAGAAACTTTTATATACATAATATATTTCAAAATCAAAACTCAAACTACTTACTGGAATTGTTGAGGATGGAAACTGGCAGAGGAAATAGTCCCTGAAGTGGGATGAGCTACCTAGGATGTGAATTAAGGCAAATAAAGTAAAATATAGAAGGCCAGGCACGGTGGCTCATGCCTGTAATTCCAGCACTTTGGGAGGCTGAGGCAGGAGGATTACTTGAGCTCAGGAGTTCGAGACCAGCCTGGCCAACATGGTGAAACCCCATCTCTACTAAAAATACAAATTAGGCCGGGGGCGGTGGCTCACGTTTGTAATCCTAGCACTTTGGGAGGCCGAGGCGGATGGATCACCTGAGGTCGGGATTTCGAGACCAGCCTGACCAATATGGTGAAACCCCATCTCTACTAAAAATACAAAAATTAGCCAGGCGTGGTGGCGTTCATTTGTAATCCCAGCTACTGGAGAGGCTAAGACAGGAGAATTGCTTGAACCTGGGAGGTGGAGATTGCAGTGAGCTGAGATCAGGCCACTGCATTCCAGCCTGGGCAACAGAGAGAGACTCCATCTCAGAAAAAAAACTACCACCACTACTACTACTACTACTACTACTACTACTACTACTACTACTACTGCTACTACTACTACTACTAATAATAATAATACAAATTACACTTGGGAGGCTGAGGCAGGGGAATGGCTTGAACCTGGGAGGCGGAGGTTGCAGTGGGCCGACATTGCAGAGTGCGGCACTGCACTCCAGCCTGACCACAGAGCAAGACTCCGTCTCAAAAATAATAATAATAATAATAATAATAATAATAATAATAATAATAACAACAATAACAACAACAACATAAATTCGCCTGGCATCGTGGCGCAACCCTGTAGTCCCAACTACTTAGGAGGCTGAGGTGGAAGGATCTCTTGAGCCCAGGAGTGAGCCGAGATCGTACCACTACTGCACTCCAGCCTGGGTGACAGAGTGAGGCCCTGTTTCAAAAAAAAAAAAAAACCAAAAAAGCAAAACCCTAGAAATTCCTTTTAAAGATCTCCTTTCTATCCGGTAACTGCAGAGAGTTGACATAGAATTGCATTGTTTCTTTAGCTTAATCGGTTACTTTCGGAATGTCACTCTCATCAATTAACATGTTATCCTTTCTTTCTCTCTGTTTCTCTCTTTTGGAACGCACTGGCCATCACGGCTCACTGTAACCCTGGACTCCTGGCCTTGGCCCCCAGAAGAGCCGAGACAACAGGCAAGGCGTGTGCCGCCGCGCCAGTCCTCACCCGCTGTCCTTCCCCAAATAGTGTCTTTATATAACTCAGTGGCAATGCCGTAGTCCAGCAGGGAGGCCGCCCTGGGCAGCGCCTGCCTGGCCAGCTCCTGCCCGGGAGGGCACCGTCCTCTCCCCTCCGGAGAGGTCCCGGTCACTGCCTGCCTGGGCCGGTTCCAGGCAGCCCTGCGCGCCTGTGCACCGTGCGCCTGTGATTGGACATCTCTGGGTCTCTGGACAGCTGCCGGGGTCACGCGCCGCCGGTGAAACGACGTCTCCACAAAGAGAGGAGCAGAGGCCCCCAGGGATCCCGGAGGGCAGGGCAACGCGGCAATTGCCCCGACCCCAGGGCGGCCGCGCGTGTCCTCGGGGGACGCAGCCTCTTCCCCGCTCCCCGGCTCCTGGAAGAGACGCGACCCAGGCGGGGACGCGGCGCTGAGCGAGGAGGCGCTGGGGCTGCGAAGCGTGCGACCCCGAGGCCTCCACCCGGACCAGGGCCACCACTCAGGCGGCGGCGCCGGCGCCGGATCCAGCCCGAGCCCCGCGCAGCCCAAAGGATACGACAGCCCCGGCCGAGGGGCGGCCGAGGTGGCCCAGAACAATCTGCAGACGGGCGGCGGCGCGAAGCTGCTCCATGGCTGCGGCGCGGGGAACCCCCACCCCTCCCGGCCTCTGCCCCATTTAGCCCAGCGGGCGGCTCCGCCTCCAGGCGCCGCCCCGGACTGGACGTAAGCGGGATTCCGGGCGGTGCCAGCTCGCGGGCCGGGCTGCTGGGGAGCCCTAGTCCGCTAGAGTCCGCGCGCCGGGCAACCGCCCGGGGCTGAAGTCCTCCCCACACCATGATCCTTCCGTCCTTTATTTTCTTTCTTTTTAAAAAGAAACAAGATCTTGCTCTGTCGCCCAGGCTGGAGTGCAGTGCGCGATCATAGCTCACTGCAGCCTTGAACTCTTGGGCTAATTTTTATTTTTTGTAGAGATGGGGTCTCGCTACGTTGCCCAGGTGGGTCTCAAACTCCCCCCGCCTCCCGTCTCGACCTCCCAAAGTGCTGGGACTACAGGCGTGAGTCATTACCCCTGCCCCGCACCCTGTTTCTGTTCCATCACCAGGACCCTCCCTGCCGCACCGAAGCTCGGGGGCCCAGTGACCAGGCCGAGGTCACACAGTGACAAGTGGCTGGGCTGGGACCTCACTCACTCTCCTAACGTCATGGCTTCCATCTGTTTAACCCTACGTGACTGCTCCTTCCACTGACAGCTGAAAGAATAAAATCTCCGATTTAAACAAAAAGTTTGCCGGGCGCGGTGGCTCACGCCTGTAATCCCAGCACTTTGGGAGGCCAAGGCAGGCGGATCACGGGGTCAGGAGTTCGAGACCAGCCTGGCCAACTTGGTGAAAACCCGTCTCTACTAAAGATACAAAAATTAGCTGAGTGTTGTGGCGCACGCCTGTAATCCCAGCTACTGGGGAGGCTGAGGCAAGAGAATCACTTGCAACCGGGAGGCGGAGGATGCAGTCAGCGAGATGGCGCCACTGCATTCCAGCCTGGGTGACAGGGCAAGACTCCGTCTCTAAACAAACAAACAAACAAACAAACAGGTTTTTAGCCGGGTGCGGTGGCTCACGCCCGTAACTCCAACACTTTGGGAGGCCGAGGCAGGAGGATCGCTTGAGCTCAGGATCGCTATAGATCGAAAGCAGCCTGGGTAACATAGTGAGAACACCTGATCTACAAAAAAATTAGCCGGGCGTCGTGGCGGGCGCCTGTAGTCCCAGCTACTCAGGAGGCTGAGGCAGGAGAACGGTGTAAACCCAGGAGGCGGACCTTGCAGTGAGCGAGATGGCGCCACCGCACTCCAGCCTGGGCGACAGAGCAAGACTCCGTCTCAAAAAAAATAAAAAATAAATCAATAAATTAAATAAATAAAAATTCCAGACATTGTATGAGGAAGCATTGCAAAACTTTCTGTTCTGTTAGCTGTTGCCTGTAGCCCCCAGTCATGTTCCCCACGCTTGCTCGATCTCTCACTAAACTTTCACGTAGACCCTTAGAGTTACAAGCCCTTAAAAGGGCCAAGAATTTCTTTTTCAGGGACCTCGGTTGCAAGTCTGCCGAAGTTCCCGGCCTAATACAGCCCTTCTTTAATCCGGTGTCTGAGTTTTGTCTGCGGCTCGTCCTGCTGCAGGAGGATCACCTGAGCCCGGGAGTTTGAAGTTGCAGTGAGCCCAGATCGTGCCTCTGCACTCCAGCCTGGGCGACAGAGTGAGGCCATGTCCAAAAAACACAAAAACAAAAAACAAACAAAACTCCAAAACATCAATGAAGTTTTGAAAATAAAAATAAAAAAATAAAAATGCTAAGATGCATCCCTAAAAGTCATATGTGCCATTCAAAAGGGGTATTTCATTTAGTGGGACTCCAGCCCAAAATATTAGAAAGTTCGGTTGGTCATAAAAAAAAAAAAAGTGAATAAAATAAATGACCTCCAGAAAAGTCTGATGCACACAGGCCAGTATGGTGTAAATTTCTTAGATAACTCCAGCATCTCTTTGTAAGATTTATTTTCCATTCCATAACTACGGATATTGACATAGCATCTCATTGTTTCTTTAGTTTCATTTTTTCATTGATTTTTTGTTCTTTTTTAGCTTCGAGTTACTTCCAGAACGTCGCAGCACACGTTATCACTTCCTGCATGACGTCTTTATAGAATTTGGTGACAATGTCGCAGTCCAGGAGGGAGGCCCGCAGCCAGCATCACCAGCCCCTTCCTGTTTGCACAGGCAGGGAGGAGAACGGCAGCTCCCAGGCTTCCACTGGGGAGTCCCTCCGGCTTTCTCCGGGATTCCGCCCGCCCCAGGGTCTCAGACCAACAGAAGGACCCGGGATCCCTCAGCAGCTCCGGACCTCATCTGCCCCACTTCGGCATCCCGCGCGGGAATATGACCATGTAGGAGTAACCCGGGGCTCTCAAGGACTCTACGGTTTGTCACGGTTTGAACGCAAGCGCAGGGCCTGGGGCGGGTGCAGGTGGAGGGTCGGCCTCTTTCTGCCCTTGGGAACGCCCCTTTCTGGATGTGGACCGGCGAGGCGGTCTCTCCTTTCTGCCCTCGCCTGGTGAAATGTGGGCACTGCTGCCAGGAGAAAAAAAACTGAAGCTGTGAATTCAGTTCATCACCCTTCCCTTGTTTATTAAAAAATCGGACCTTGGCCGGGCGCGGTGGCTCACGCCTGTAATCCCAGCACTTTGGGAGGCCGAGGCAGGCAGATTAGGAGGTCAGGAGATCGAGACCATCTTGGTTAACACGGTGAAGCCCGGTCTCTACTAAAAATACAAAAAAGTTAGCAGGGTGGTGGCGGTCGCCTGTTGTCCCAGCTGCTCGGGAGGCTGAGGCAGGAGAATGGCGTGAACCCGGGAGGCGGAGCTTGCAGTGAGCCGAGGTCGTGCCACTGCACTCCAGCCTGGGTGAAAAAATAAAAAAAAAAAAAGATCAGGACCTTTACCCGCGCTGACGGTGATTGGTTTTCATGACCAATAAAGAAATTCGAATGAGATGAAGCTACTTACACCTGTGTTTTTACTGTTCCTTTAAAATGCCCTAATTTCACAACCATGTGAAAATTCCTGCCATCTCTCCCCCAAGGCATTTATACAAGGATGTACTTAGATATTTAGATGTATTTAAATTTATGCTTTTCTTTTCTTTTTTTTTTTTTTTTGAGACGGAGTCTGACTCTGTTTCCCAGGCTGGAGTGCAGGGCGTGATCTCGGCTCACTGCGACCTCTGCCTTCCGGGTTCAAGAGATTCTCCTGACTCAGCCTCCTGAGTAGCTGGGATTACAGGCGCGCCATCAAGCTCAGCTAATTTTTTGTATTTTTAGTAGAGCCAGTTTCACCATTTTGGCCAGGCTGGTCTCGAACTCATGACCTCAAGTGATCCGCCCGCCTCAACCTCCCAAAGTGCTGGGATTACAGGCGTAAACCACCGCACCCGGCCCAAACTGATGCTTTTTACCGACAGATGAAGGAAATTCTTAAATGCTCACAATTGTTATCTGCCTTTTTAAAATTAGAGGGATGCTGGGTTTAACATTTTTCATTTAAGATCCCACGGAGAATTAACATAATAATTTCTCCGTAGGTAAAGAGGTAATTTGATGAATGTTACTAGTTTTCTTTCAAATAGCTATTTGGATTATTGGAAAATTCCCTAAGTAGGCATCTTTAATAATTATGTTATTAAAATAAAAATATTTTAGAACAATTGAAGCAGAACATTAATGGAATGTAAACATTATCACAAGAATGAAAAGTTCTTTCCCCTTTGGTATTAGGCATTTATTCATTTCTTATTAAAGTTGACCTTTTGAAGATTACTTCAAAATTAGCTTCCCCCCACTTCCAGTAATGTGCTTGGTTACTTACGTATTGAAAGTAACCTTGCAGACAAGTTTTGAAACACAATTTTCAAAATGATCTAAGGAATAGTTTTCCCCATATATATAAATTAAATGATTTGTTAAATAATAGCCATATTTGAACAGCTAAGTAAAATGTTTGAGTTTTAAAATCTTGGATTAAATTGTTCAAACTGGCTAGGGGAAGTGGGTCACGCCTGTAATCCCAGCACTTTGAGAGGCTGAGGCAGGTGGATCACCTGAGGTCAGGAGCTCCAGACCAGTCTGGCTAACATGTTAAAAACCCGTCTCTACTAAAAGTACCAAAAAAAAAAAAAAAAAAATTAGCTGGGCGTGGTGGCACATGCCTGTAATCCCAGCTACTCAGGAGGCCGGGGCAGGAGAATCGCTTGAACCCGGGAGGTGGAGGTTGCAGTGAGCCGAGATAGCGTCATTGCACTCCAGCTTGGGCAACACGAGTGAAACTCCATCTCAAACAAAGAAACAAACACAAAAACGAAAACCAGAAAACAAACAAACAAACAAAAACCCCAGAAAATTAGCTGAGCGTGGCACACCTGTAGTACCAGCCACTTGAGAGGCTGATGTGGGAGGATCGCTTGAGCCCAGGAGGTGGAGGTTGAAGTGAGCCAATATTGTGCCACTGCACTCCAGCCTGGGCGACAGAGCAAGACTGTGTTTCAAAAACAAAATAATAAATTAAATAAATAAATAAATAGTTGAAGCCAAGCATGGTGGCTCCCGCCTGTAATGTCAGCACTTTGGCAGGTCGAGGCAGAGGATTGCTTGAACCAAGAGGCTCGAGACCAGCCTGGGCAACATAGCAAGACTTCGCCTCTACAAAAAATTTTAAAAAGAAATAGCGGGGTGCAGTGGCGCACGTGTAGTCCTAGCTACTCCAGAGTCTGAGGCAGGAGGATTGCTTGAGCTCAGGGTTCTAGGCTGCAGTGAGCCATGATCCCCTACTGTACTCCAGCCTGAGTGATAGAGATCCTATCTCTAAAATTTATTTTAAAAAGTTTAAAAAGTTAGCTGGGTGTGGTGGCTTATGCCTGTAATCCAGCATTTTGGGAGGCTGAGGCGGGTGGATCACAAGGTCAGGAGTTTGAGACCAGCCTGGCCAAAATGGTGAAACCCTGTCTCTACTAAAAAAATAAAAAAATTAGCCAGGCATGGTGGTGGGCGCCTGTGGTCCCAGCTACTCAGGAGGCTGAGGCAGGAGAATCGCTTGAACCCGGGAGGCAAATGTTGCAGTGAGGTGAGACTGCACCACCGTATTCCAGCCTGGGCAACAGAGAGAGATTCCAAAAATAATAATAATAACAATAATAAGTTGTTCAAGCATTGTACACACTTAAGGAAATGTCATTATATGAATAAAAAATTATCTGCAATCAACTCCAGATTCAAAAACTCTGAGAATAGATATTACTGTAGGTGAGGTCATTTGGTTACAAGTTTTAAAGTTCGTTTAGAATATAGTGGCTCACACCTGTAATCCCAGCATTTTCAGAGGCTAAGGCAGAAGGATCACTTCAGGCCAGGAGTTCAAAACCAGCCTGGGCAACATTGCAAGACCCCATCTCTGCAAAAAGTTTAAAAATTAGCCAGGTATGTAGGCTGGGTGCGGTAGCTCACGCCTGTAATCCCAGCACTTTGGGAGGCCGAGGTGGGCGGATCACCTGAAGACAGGAGTCTGAAACCAGCCTGGCCAACACCCTGTCTCTACTAAAAATACAAAAACTAGCTGGGCATGGTGACGCATGCCTGCAGTCCTGGCTACTCAGGAGGCTGAGGCAGGAGAATCGCTTGAACCTGGGAAGGGGAAGTTGCAGTGAGCTGAGATCGCGCCACTGCACTCCAGCTTGGGCAACAGAGCGAGACTTCGTCTCAAAAAAAAATAGCCAGGTGTGGTGGTACGCACCTGTAGTCCCAGCTATTCAGGAGGCTGAAGCGAGAGGATCTCCTGCTTTTCTCGAAGCCCATTTCTGATGTCAGCTATAATGAAAACAAGTCTGAAGAATGGAGACATCTGTGGTGCAAAGAAATATCTCATCTTCCAACCTAAATTAGAAACTAAGAAATATAGGTGTGTAAATCTGGGAGAAGAGGAAAGAATAAAATTATCACTTATGGAATTATTTGGATTGAGAGGCCCGGGGTAAATGATCTACCATGAAATAAACACAAATCAACCAGCAAACCTCTACACAATTATTGGGTACCTAATTTGTACCGAGCTGTCTAAAAGAAACAGGGAAACATAGGAGGGGGTACAGCAATGATCCACGTAAGCAGAGGGAAAGGCAGTGCCATGCCCAGGCTCTAAACGACACAGGGCAGGGGACAAGGCAGCAGGTGCAGGAAGAGTGAGGGCTAAGGTATGTTAGGGTGAAGGAGGGCAGAAAGGAAGGAAATAGGGAAAGAAATCACACACACACACTCATACACACACACATATACACATACATGCACACACACACACATGCACGCATGCGCGCACACACCTTCCATTCTGTGTGTCAGTTCCCCATGGATATGAATGGAACACGTGTGTGTGCAGGGAGGCTGGAATCACAGAGGCTGCTTGACAGCAAAGGGAAGGTGGTGTTTTAATTCTAAATTGTCCAAAATGCAGAAAGAAAGAAACTTCTCATTGGAAACTGTTGTATTTCCATGGCCCTTTATGTATTCTTTATTTTTTTTTTCCGACAGAGTTTCGATCTTGTTGCCCAGGCTGGAGTGCAATGGCGCAATCTTGGCTCACCACAACCTCCGCCTCCCAGGTTCAAGTGATTCTCCTGCCTCAGCCTCCCAAGTAGCTGGGATTACAGGCATGCACCACCATGCCCGGCTAATTTTGTATTTTTAGTAGAGACGGGGTTTCTCCATGTTGATCAGGCTGGTCTCGATCTCCCGACCTCAGGTGATCTGCCCGCCTCGGCCTCCCAAAGTGCCGGGATTTATGTATACTTTCATGTTGGCGTTAATCATCTCATGTTGGCACTACAGAAAAGTTGATTCTGCCACAGTCTGCCTGGTGGGCGAGGCTTGCTTTGTGCACAAAGCTTGGCAGCCAGCGGTGAACTGACCTTCCCCACTGCTGGCCCCCACTTTGTATGGCTATGTGATCATATTAATTTGGCCAGCCATGGTGGCTCAGGCCTGTAATCCCAGCACTTTGGGAAGCCAAGAGTTTGAGACCATCTTGGGAAACACAGCAAGACCCCATCTCTATGAAAAAAAGCTAAAAAACTAGCTGGACATGATCGTGGTGTGCCTGTAGTCCCAGGTACTCAGGAGGCTGAGGCGGGAGGATCACTTGAGCCCGGGAATCAGAGGCTACAGTGTGCCATGATCACACCACTGCACTCCCACCTGGGCAACAGAGTGAGACCTTGTCTCAAAAAATTTTTTAAAAATCATATTAGTTTACATTATATATTACATATATATTTAAATGACCCAATGTTTTGTGATCAATAATAATACACATATATTGTAGAATATTTGAAAAAATATAGGGAAAAAACCCCTAAAATTCACCCATGTGGCTGCTCTTTGCAAGAAAACCGTTGTTAAAATTCATTCTATTTTTCCCATTCACATTTAGTTGAAATACATACATTTTATACAGGTATATACATATATATGTATATATTTTTTCAAAGTTAATATCACACTGAATACACTACATTGCATCTTTTTTTGTATAAAACACTTAATTTAGGCCAGGAGCAGTGGCTTACGCCTGTAATCTCAGCACTTTGGGAGGCCGAGGCGGGTGGATCACCTGAGGTCAGGAGTTCAAGACCAGCCTGACCAACGTGGAGAAACCCCATCTCTACTAAAAATACAAAATTAGCCGGGTGTGGTGGTGCATGCCTGTAATCCCAGCTACTTGGGAGGCTGAGGCAGGAGAATTGCTTGGACCCAGAAGGTGGAGGTTGCAGTGAGCCGAGATAGCGCCACTGCACTCCAGCCTGGGCAACAAGAGCAAAACTCCATCTCAAAAAAAAAAAAAAAAAAAGAAAGAAAGAAAGAAAGAAAAAAGAAAAAATACAGGGAAAAAAAACCTCTAAAATTAACTCATGTGGCTGCTCTTCACAAGAAAACCACTGTTACAATTCACTATATTTTTTCCCATTCACATTTAGTTGAAAAATATACATTTTATACAGGTACATACATACATACGTATATATTTTTTCAAAGTTGGTATCACACTGAATACACTGAATAGACTGCATTGCATCTGTTTTTGGTAGAAAACACTTAATTTATTGGTCTTTGTGGAGAATTAGGTGCATCACCAGTGTGTTACAGCTGAGCCATTAGTTTTGTAGCTTCATCAACATTAACTGGTTTGCTCTGATGACGCTGCTGAGGAATCAGCTCTTTCTGCAGAAGATCAAGAGAAAGGCCTTTTGAGAAATGTGGAAGTTCCTCTTGTACACTTCCAAAAGCTTTGTTTACTCTGCTGACTTTTTCATCATTCATAATGTGTATCTTCTTAAGATTAGCGGTAATTGGTTTTACTCTGTTTTTAGCCTTAAAGCTTTTTTGGCTAGCTATGCGAAATACGTTCCTGGACTTCTGCCCTCTAAATTTGTTCTTGGCCATTGTCAGGAATTCAATACTTGCGTGCAGCTTCTTAAACTCCAGGTGACGCCGCATCTTTTTTTCACCTTAGATTACAGCATAGACATTTTACCATGAATACATAGTCTCCAAAAACGTGACTTTTGAGGTAGAATTACAGATAATTTTTTTTTTTTTTTTGAAACAGAGTCTCAAAAAGAAACATTTAAAAAACTGATGGGTGTGGGCTGGTGGCTCAAGCCTGTAATCCCAGCACTTTGGGAGGCCGAGGTGGGTGGATCACTTGAAGTCAGGAGATCGAGACCATCCTGGCTAACACGGTGAAACCCCGTCTCTACTAAAAATACAAAAAATCAGCCGGGCGTGGTGGTGGGCGCCTGTAGTCCCAGCTACTCGGGAGGCTGAGGCAGGAGAATGGCGTGAACCCAGGAGGTGGAGCTTGCAGTGAGCCGAGATTGCGCCACTGCACTCCCCCCGGGTGACAGAGCGAGACTCCGTCTCAAAAAAAAAAAAAAAAAAAAACCAAGAAACAAAAAAATTAGCCGGACATATGGCGTGCACCTGTAGTCCCAGTTACTCTGGAGGCTGAGGCAGGAGAATGGCTTGAGCCTGGAAGGCAGACGTTGCAGTGAGCCGAGATTGCATCACTGCACTCCAGCCTGGGTGATAGAGTGAGACCCTGTCTCAAAACAAAACAAAAAAACAACACCAAAAAAGACTGCTGGGTGTGGTGGCTCACACCTGTAATCCCAACACTTTGGGAGGCCAGAGTGGGACGATCACTTGAGCCCAGGATTTCAAGACTAGCCTGGGAAACAAAGTGAGACCCCCATCTCTACAATAATTTTTTTTTAATTAGCCCAGGCGCGGTGGTGTGCCTGTAGTCATAGCCACTCAGGAAGCTGAGGTGGGAAGATCTCTTGAGCCTGGAAGGTCAAAGCTGCAGTAAGCCATGATCATGCCACTGCACTCCAGCCTGGGTGACAGAATGAGACTGTCTCAATAAAAACACACTTACTTACATACATAAATACATAAATTGGAATCATACTGCATATAGAGTTGTTTTTCAAAACTCATTATTACATTGTGAATATTTCCGTATTTTAAATGCCATAAGACCTGTTTTTTTTTTTTTTTTTTTTTTGAGACACAGTTTCATTCTGTCACCCAGGTTGGAGGGCAATGGCACTGTCTGAGCTCACTGCAACCTCTGCCTCTGGGGTTCAAGCGATTCTTGTGCCTCAGCCTCCTGAGTAGCTGGGATTACAGGTGTGCGCCACTACGCCTGGCTAATTTTTTTATTATTAGTAGAGACGGAGTTTTGCCATGTTGGCCAGGCTGGTCTCGAACTCCTGACCTCAGGTGATCCGCCCGCCTCAGCATCCCAAAGTGCTGGTATTACAGTTGTGAGTCACTGTGCCCAGCCTAAGACCTGATTTTTGATGACTTCATAGCATTCTAGCCTGTGGATTTTCCTATATTCATTGAACCAATGTCCTATTACTATATGTAAGTTTATGTTTTCTTTTCCTTTCTTTCTTTTTTGCTTACAATTGTAAATAATTTGATGAATGTGCTGATTTTCAGTGTTGGGTAGTCCCATGGATATTTCCTTAGGATAAATTATTGACATAGAGTTGCTAGTCAAAGGCTATTAAACATTTCAATATTGCCAAACAAGTCTCAAAATGCTGTTATCAATGAGCATTGAGCATTGACAAAACCTGGGCCTTATCCCCTTTTTTTTTTTTAATTTTTTTGAGATGGAGTTTTGCTCTTGTTGCCCAGGCTGGAGTGCAATGGCACGATATCGGCTCACTGCAACCTCCGCCTCCCGGGTTCAAGCGATTCTCCTGCCTCAGCCTCCTGAGTAGCTGGGATTAGAAAGAAGCATGCACCACCACGCCCTGCTAATTTTGTATTTTTAGTAGAGACGGGGTTTCTCCATGTTGGTCAGACTGCTCTCCAACTCCCGACCTCAGGTGATCCACCCACCTCGGCCTTCCAAAGTGTTAGGATTATAGGTGTGAGCCACCGTGCCCGGCCACCTTACCCTTTTTAAATTCTTGCCAATTAGGTAGGCAAAAAATAAAAAGACTTCATATTGTTTAAATTTGCCTGTCTAGTAAGATTGAACAAGTTTTGAGCTCTACATTGGTCATTTGTGTATTTGTGAATTGCCTGTCGATTTCTATCTTAGGGTAGGTTAAGCTATGCTGTAGTAATAAGTAAACCCTGAACTGTTAATGCCTCAACCAAATGAAAGTTTACTTGTCAATGATTCTCCAGCAATGACTGAGAGATCCGCAAGTCCATTTTGTGATGCTGTCACCTTAGACCTGCATCCTCTGAGGGTGTCAACGGAAGGCAGTCACAGTATAGGTGGCCCCGACAGATTTCAAGAGATTGCAGCAAGGCAGTGCCCAACCCACTGAAAACTGGGACTCAAGTGAAAGGGTAAAATAATGAGACTCTGGAAGCTGGTGACTCAGAGAGAAATACTACAGAGCAGGGGTCCCCAACTCCCATGCCGGGGACCCTTACCAGTCTGTACCCTGTTAGGAACCGAGCCACACAGGATGGGGTGAGCAAGCATTCCCACCTGACCTCTGCCTCCTGTCAGATCAGCAGTGGCACTGGATTCTCACAGGAGCGGGAACTGTTGTGAACTGCATGTGAGGGATCTAGGTTGTCTGCTCCTTATGAGAATCTAATGCCTGATAATCCATCACTGTCTCCCATCACCCCCAGATGGGATCGTCTAGTGGCAGGAAAACAAGCTCAGGGCTCCCACTGATTCTACATTATGGTGGGTTGCAGTTGTTTCATTACATATTACAATGTAATAATAGTAGAAATAAAGTACAAAATAAATGTAATGTGCTTGAATCATACTGAAACCTTCCCCGGGCACTGTGCCCCAGTCTGTGGAAAAATTGCTTCCACAAAACCAGTCCCTTGTGCCAAAAAGGTTGGGGACCACTCCTACAGAGGAAGACACTTAGAAGATGAATCATGTACAGAATTTCTCTGCTGTTGTATAATGTAAGTATTTGGGATAGGATGTTCTCTAAAACATTGGTCAGAAACTGCTAGGTTATCCTTGCACTATAGAAAAGTCAATTCCGCCGGGCACGGTGGCTCACGCCTGTAATCCCAGCACTTTGGGAGGCTGAGGCAGGCAGATCACGAGGTCAGGAGTTTGAGACCAGCCTGACCAACATGGTGAAACCCCATCTCAACTAAAAACACAAAAATTAGCTGGGCCTAGTGGCGCGCACCTGTAATCCCAGCTACTCAGGAGACTGAGGTAGGAGAATCACTTGAACCCGGGAGGCAGAGGTTGCAGTGAGCCAAGATTGCACCACTGCACTCCAGCCTCGGCGACAGAGTGAGACTCTGTCTCAGAAAAAAATAAATTAATAAAAAGAAAAGACAAGTCAATTCCAGCTGGGTGCGATGACTCACGCCTGTAATCCCAGCACTTCGGGAGGCCAAGGTGGGCAGATCACCTGAGGTTGGGAGTTCGAGACCAGCCTGACCAACATGGAGAAACCCCGTCTCTACTAAAAATACAAAATTAGCCGGGCGTGGTGGCACATGCCTGTAATCCCAGCTACTCCAGAGGCTGAGGCAGGAGAATCTCTTGAACCCAGGAGGCGGAGGTTGCAGTGAGCTGAGATCACGCCATTGCACTCCAGCCTGGTCAACAAGAGCGAAACCACATCTCAAAAAAAAAAAAAGAAAGAAAAAAGAAAAGTCGATTCCAGCCGGGCGCAGTGGCTCATGCCTGTAATCCCAGCACTTTGGGAGGCCAAGGTGGGCAGATCACCTGAGGTTGGGAGTTCGAGACCAGCCTGACCAACATGGAGAAACCCCGTCTCTACTAAAAATACAAAATTAGCCGGGCGTGGTGGCACATGCCTGTAATCCCAGCTACTCCAGAGGCTGAGGCAGGAGAATCTCTTGAACCCAGGAGGCGGAGGTTGCCGTGAGCTGAGATCACGCCATTGCACTCTAGCCTGGTCAACAAGAGCGAAACCACATCTCAAAAAAAAAAAAAAGAAAGAAAAAAGAAAAGTCGATTCCAGCCGGGCACAGTGTCTCATGCCTGTAATCCCAGCACTTGGGGAGGCAGAGGGGGGCAAATCACCTGAGGTCAGAAGTTTGAGACCAGCCTGGCTAACATGGTGAAACCCCATCTCTACTAAAAATACAAAAATTAGCGGGGTGTGGTGGCGGGTACCTGTAATCTCACCTACTGGGGAGGCTGAGGCAGGAGAATCTCTTGAACTCTGGAGGTGGAGGTTGCAGTGAGCCGAGATCGTGCCACTGCACTTCAGCTTGGGTGACAAGAGCGAGACTCAGTCTCAAAAAAAAAAAAAAAAAAAAAAGGTAAGTCGATTCTGCCACAGCCTGTCTAGTGGCCCACGTTTGCTTTGTGCACAAAGCTTGGTAGCTAGTGGTGAACAGACCTGCCACCCTGCTGGCCCCCGCTTGGTATGGCTGTGTAAGCAATTCTTGTTCACTGATTTTAAAAATACCATGTTTGAGGCAACAGCTTTGCTTCATGGCTGCAAAAATCTCTCCCCTGGTGAAGAAGCTACCCCGTGGGTATACGGCCTTGTGGTGGGGAGAATAACGGTCCTCCCCAAAGATGTTCACGCCCTAATCCCTGGAATCTGTGGCTGTTACCTTACCTGGCAAAAGGGATTTTCCAAATGTGATTAACGTTAAGGACTTTGATAGGGGGATCACCCCGTATTATCTGGGTGAGCCCACTGCAATCATGAGTCCTGAAAATGGAGAAACGTTTCCTGGATGTAGTAAGAAAGAGATATGCCAGCCAGGTGCGGTGGCTCATGCCTGTAATCCCGGCACTTTGGGAGGCTGAGTGACCCCCATCACTTGAGGTCAGGAGTTCGAGATCAGCCTGCCCAACATGGTGAAACCCCATCTCTACTAAAAATACAAAAATTAGCCGGGCATGGTGGGAGGTGCCTGTAATCCCAACTACTTGGGAGGCTGAGGCGGGAGAATGGCTTGAACCTGGGAGGCGGAGCTTGTAGTGAGCGGAGATCACGCCACTGCACTCCAGCCTGGGTGACAGAGTGAGACTCTGCCTAAAAAAAAAAAGAAAAAAAAAAAAAAAGAATTAAGCAACATATAGGACTGGATACTGGGTAATGATCAACGTTAACATTTTATAGGCCGTTTTAATTTTTTTTTTTTGAGATGGAGTCTCGCTCTGTCGCCCAGGCTGGAGTGCAGTGGCACGATCTCGACTCACTGCAAGCTCCGCCTCCCAGGTTCAAGCCATTCTCCTGCCTCAGCCTCTCCGAGTAGCTGGGATTACAGGCACCCGCCACCATGCCCGGCTAATTTTTTGTATTTTTAGTAGAGACGGGGTTTCACCGTGGTCTCGATCTCCTGACTTTGTGATCCGCCGCCTCGGCCTCCCAGAGTGCTGGGATTACAAGCGTGAGCCACCGCGCCCGGCCTCGTTTTTTTCTTTTCTGTTTTTTTTTTTTTGAGACAAAGTCTCGCTCTGTCACCCATGCTGGAGTGCAATGGCACGATCTTGGCTCACTGCAACCTCTGGCTCCCGGGTTCAAGCGATTCTCCTGCCCCAGCCTCCCGAGTAGCTGGGATTATAGGTGCGCACCACCACACCCGGATAATTTTTGTATTTTTAGTACAGACAGGGTTTCACCATGTTGGTAAGGTTGGTCTCGAACTGCTGACCTCGGGATCTGCCAGCCTCGGCCTCCCAAAGTGCTGGGATGACAGGCGTGAGCCACTGTGCCCAGCCAGGCCCTTATAATTTTCTACGGGCCTATGCTTGTTCTAAAAATATAATAGTAGAAAACACACTGGCTTTTCTGCAATCAGATCACTAATAGAGTGAGTTTTCTGTTTTTGTTTGTTTGTTTGTTTGTTTGTTTGTTTTGAGACGGAGTTTCGCTCTTGTTGCCCAGGCTGGAGTGCAATGGCGCAATCTCAGCTCGGCACAACCTCCGCCTCCCAGGTTCAAGCAATTCTCCTGCCGCAGCCTCCCGAGTAGCTGGGATTACAGGCATGCACCACCATGCCTGGCTAATTTTGTATTTTCTTTTTTTTTTTTTTTTTTTTTAGCAGAGATGGGGTTTCTCCATGTTGAGGCTGGTCTCGAACTTCTGACTTCAGGTGATCCGCCCACCTCGGCCCCCCAAAGTGCTGGGATTACAGGCGTGAGCCACCGCACATGGTCTTTTCTGTTTCTATGAAGCTTTGATAGGCTTCATTACATGCAGTTTCTCCTAAGCATAAAACTCCCTCTGAAAGCAACAGGACTTAGAAAGGACAAAAACCATGGAAAGCATCAACTGTGTGTTCAGTGCTGGATGTCATATTTAAGGACTGTGAAACGTAGGGAAACTTACAGCACCTTCCTTACCCTGAATTCACAGACAAATCAAAGCATTTGGCATTGGCAGCAGGCTTGGATTCCAGGCAATTCCAGAACCAGTCTAGATGCCTATGGGAGCACCGTCTCACCTACTGCTTTACCGAATGAAGACCTTGTGTAATCCATCCACTCCCATCCTCATTCAAGACACAGAGATTTCAGCATAGATAACAGGATATTCCCAGGCTTCACTTTTAACAGGACATTGGTGATTTTCACTGTGCCCCTTGGCATATGTAATGACTATAATTCATATGCGGATTCTTAATGAGAAAAATTTACAAATTACTGTTCAAAGTAAATTATGTTGTCTATGCAACCACTGCCTAAGCTAGAGGAAAGGGTGGGCTGGGTGTGGAAGTGAGCAACTCAAGGATATATACAAACAAATATACACAAAAACACACACACGGACACGACTGGTATCTGAAGCGTCGATGACTACGCTTGCTCTATTACCTAAAAATAAAGTGCAGCACAGTATAGCTATTCTGGTCTCTATACAATTAAAACTAAGATTGAGAACTCAGATATAACTCTTTTAAAGGGAATGCTAAATTCAGACTGAAAATGCCTGGCTCATTCATCTATAAACAGAACAATTTGAAACACATTTATTCATTATAAAGCATGCAGAACTTGGAAGACTATAATCTACTATTTTTAAAGACTGAGCCAAAAAGTACATATTGCTTATACAATATTTCAATTTTTCTTGGACTGAAACACAATAAATACCTCAACACAGCCTGTGCAAATAAGCAGCTTCAATATTCCTTCAGATTATTCCTAGTGCCTGAATGACTGACTCCACCATGATCCAGCTGCCTCAGGTTGTATTCACTAATTCTATGCATTCTAACAGACTGTATTTTTGGATGCAACTATACTATATGATTTACAGAAAACAAATCAGTATACCAAGATAAATACACTTCAGTGTGAAGTTTTAAAGTGCTACCAGAAAGTCAAATCGACTACTTACTCTCCACTCACTTTTTAAATTTTATTTTTTGTAGAGACGAGGTCTCACTATGTTGCTTAGGCTGGTCTCGAACTCCTGTGCTCAAGTGATCCTCCTGTCTCAGCTTCCCAAAGTGCTAGGATTATAGACGTGAGCCACCATGTCTGGCCTGTCCACTGACTTTTAAAATGTTCTACATAGATTTTGCCAAGAACTCCAATATTCAGTGACAATCATTTGAGTCTTCGTGGAGCTTTCAAAATACAGGTCTTTCTGCTGCCTTGCTGGGCCGTAGCTCAGATGTGGGAAGTAAACAGAATGGTCAAGATTTGGTCGGAATGGTCGGTAAGAGAATGGTCGAGGAAAAAATTCCTGCAAAATATGTTGCAAAAGGCTGGGCATGGTGGCTCACACCTGTGATCCCAGCACTTTGGGAGGCCAAGGCAGGCGGATCGTTTGAGCTCAGTTCGAGACCAACATGGCAAAACCCTGTCTCTACTAAAAATACAAAAATCAGTCAGGCTTGGTGGCATGCGCCTGTAATCCCAGCTACTCGGGAGGCTGAGGCGGGAGAATCACTGGAACCTGGGAGACAGAGGTTGCAGTGAGCTGAGATCGCACCACTGCACTCCAGCCTGGCTGATAGAGAGACTCCGCCTCAAAAAAAAAAAAAAAAAAAAAGTTGCAAAACCAGGTCCTCTTACTTTCCCTGCCTTCCTCTGCAACATTCCTTTTGAGATCAGTTTTTTTTTTAAATTATACTTTAAGTTTTAGGGTACATGTGCACAACGTGCAGGTTTGTTACATATGTATACATGTGCCATGTTGGTGTGCTGCACCCATGGTTCTGAAACTTTTTTGGCCATAGCCCCATAGGGTCCTTATTTAAGATATTCCCAAAGTCCCACACCCCAGAAATTCTGATTCTGTGAATCTGGAAAATCAGGGGCAGGAATGTTGCCTTCTAACACCCCGGGTGATTCTAACACAGGTGAATCTGGGCCACTATACAATACTGGTTTTTGTTTGCTTGTTGAGACTTGAGTCTGTTTCTTGAGACTGAGTCTCTGTCGCCCAAGCTGGAGTGCAGTGGTGTGATGGCAGGTTGCTCACTGCAACTTCTATCTCCCGGCTTCAAGCGATTCTTGTGCCTCAGCCTACCCAGTAGCTGGGAATACAGGTGTGCGCCACCAAACCCAGCTAATTTTTGTATTTTTAGTAAAGACAGGATTTCACCATGTTGGCAAGTCTGGTCTTGAACTCTGGACCTCTGGTCATCTGCCCACCTCGGCCTCCCACAGTGCTGATATTACAGGTGTGAGCCACCATGCCCAGCCAACACTGCTTTAAATACAAATTCTTCCTCTTGGGATCATAAGACTTACACGGACCTCTAAGTACCCAACATTTTCTCTTTATAAATATCAATCTTCACAAATATTATTTCCTTAAGTACATACTCCACTTAGCTCCCTCCTCTCAATAGGCCTGCCACTGAGGAAAACACCAGCTCTCACGGCACAGGCTACACTGAAGTTCAGTCATCGTTATTTAAAAAAAAAAAAAAAAAAAAGCTCAACAGTAGGTTTATCTCACTAGAGGTTTCCAACACACTTTATTTTGCAGACCACTGGTTTGTAGCTTTTGAGGACCAACATCTCTATCAATTCCTATAAAATGTCCAATCACTTTCAGTTCCGTAGCAGGCTCTTCCATACTGCACACCATGCTTATGGCTGGAGGTCCAGTTACACATGCATGAAGGCTGCCCTGCCCACTGGTTCCTGGAGGAGGGCGCGTCCGAGTTAAAGCCTCTTCCAGGAGCTTGAACTTCCCAGGGGTCATTTCCTTTGGCAAGAAGTCAGTTTACATGTGCAGCTTTGGTGCCTGTGAGCAGAAAGCACCAGAAATGGGCAGGATGTGCTGCTTTTTCTCTCACGAAGATGGGCACTTGAGGATCCAGCGCCCTTGTGCTTAATGACAGGAATCCCTCCTCATTGCTTAGTAGGTTAAAATATAAGGAAGCCTCCACTTTACATAACACAGAGAACACCTTTTTAGATTGCCTATTTATTCTAGAACTACAAAATTTAATTCAAGAAAATATAGGTCCCATGAAAGACTTAAAAGTTTTATAAAACTAAAATCTAGTTTTTCCCGATAAATTGTACTTTAGGCAAAACCCTCCCAACGCTTCTAAAATAATACTAAAAGGGGCATCTGATTATACAAGAGCAATTTAAAAAATTAAATATTTATTTGAATAACAAGTTTAAGTTCGAGCTGCAATGTTGGCAATGCAGGTTTTTAACACAGATCACAAAAAGCGTGCACAAAAAAGTACTGGCGCAAAGGACAAAATAATGCTAAGAATTAGGCCAAACAGCTGCTGATTTTAAGAAAACAAAAGGCCTGAAATCACTGTACAAAATAGAAAATGTATTAAACACTACCATCCACAGAACAGTCTTTACTATTGATTATATTTAAAAATTATTTGTGTAATTATATATTGAATTGTAAATGAGTATTATACATGAACCTCCATTCGGAAGGCAATTCCTTGTAGCACTATAGAACATCTAATAACATTGCAAAAAGTATCCTTTTTTGCTATCGATAAAACAGTTAATGGTATTACTGTAAATATCAGGAAGGCTACAAAAAAAGAAATAAGATTTCTTTTTTGTCTTCAAAGTGTTTTCCATGCAATGAAGCACTTGCTGTGTTGAACTGAATGCACTACTGGAGAATGTTCTGGGTCCGAGATGCTCTTGAGAGACAAGACTAGGCTTTTCAAATCAAACACTCAAAGGAATCATGCAACCCTCTTATGACTGGGATACCGTCATGTGCCACTTACCAATGCTGTCTCTCCAGAAAACCATTCAAGACGCTTAAAAAAAAAAATCAGACTTATATGATAAATATACATAAAATGAAGACACCAACTGCTATTTGACACGACTACGGGTAATGCCTGTGCTATGTGAAAGCACCTTTAAAAAGCCTATGCGGCAAGAGATAAGTGTCTAAAGATTCAAAATGAATCAACAGTATTGGATAACAATATAATTCTCAACTCAGAAGCTGCCTCAAGATTAGGTGCATCTTCAGTTAATGTAACAGGAAAAAAAGGCAATGGATTTTATTTTATTAATTGTATCCACTTACAAACCGACCTAAGGTCACCCCGATGTGTAGACACAATGAGATTTTTGTTGTTTATAGTCTTTAATTGAAGTGATAAGGGAAATAGATCTATTTAAAAACAAAACCAAACAGCTATTTCTGTCTAGATTAAGAGGTGGCCCCGGGTGTGGGATTCACATTTTGAGTGGCCACTTGTGGTGCGACCTCGATGATCCGGGGTTTGTCTATGATTCTGGCTGTGCGGTTGCCCTTCTCTACAATCCCAATAATCCATGCTTGGTGGCCTTCACCATATTTGGGGGACTTTATCTCTGCACAGAACCGAGCTGCTTGCTCACGTGGTAAACAGATCAGAAGGCCGCCTGGCAAAAGAAAACAAGAATGACTGTTAGTGTTGACATGACAGCAGCTTCTCTGCCTCTGCTGCTTCTGCAGAGATCCAACTTCCATCAACAACTTGCTGCCACCTATATGCAAGTAGCTCTTCCCATTCAACTAAGCAGCTTTTTTTTGAGACAGGGTCTCACTCTGTGGCCCAAGCTGGAGTGCAGTGGTACAATCACAGCTCACTGCAGCCTCAATGTCCTGGCTCAGGTGACCCTCCCACTTCAGCTTTCCCAGTAGCTGTGATTACAAGTGTGCACCACCACACCTGGCTAATTTTCTGTAGAGACAAGGTTTCACTGTGTTGTCCAGGCTGGTCTAAAACTCCTGGACTCAAGCAATCCACCTGCCTTGGCCTCCCAAAGTGCTGAGATTACAGGAATGAACCACCACTCCCAGCCTAAGAGGCCTGTTCTATGCTGTAATTAAGCAATTGCTAGTAAACTCCTAACACACACACATATACACTCCAACTTTCAACTGTGAAAATGACCTATTCGTGAACCACATAACACTGTGTAGGGGTAAGGTGTTTGGGGCTTCAATAACCCATGTGGTAGCTATTTTTTCCAAGCTACACTGAAACAAATATTGACAAACAAAAGGGAACTTTTGATTCTCTACATCGACTCTCTCATTTTACCGAGAATGCTTTTTTGTATTTTTAGAAAATTTAAGACTCATGAAACAGTGTATGCCCCAAAGTATCTAGGTTCCAGTCATGACTCTGTCATTATATCCAAAAGACAAACAGTATAAAATACATTAAAATAAACCTTTGTTGCTCTTTCCAGTAAATAGGCCATAAATTTTTTTTTTTTTTGAGACGGAGTCTCGCTGTCTCCCAGGTTGGATTGCAGTGGTGTGATCTCGGCTCACTGCAAGCTCCACCTCCCGGGTTCACACCATTCTCCTGCCTCAGCCTCCTGAGTAGCTGGGACTACAGGCGCCCGCCACCACACCCGGCTAATTTTTTGTATTTTTAGTAGAGACAGGGTTTCACCGTGTTAGCCAGGATGGTCTCGATCTCCTGACCTCGTGATCCACCCGCCTTGGCCTCCCAAAGTGCTGGGATTACAGGCGTGAGCCACTGCACCGGGCCAAAATTTATTTCTCTAAGTAGAAATAAGATGATGAGGAAAAACTGTAGTCTACTTCTACAAAATGTAAAAACCTTGTGGCTGGGCATGGTGGGTCACACGTGTAATCCCAGCACTTTGGGAGGCCGAGGCGGGTGGATCACCTGAGGTCAGGAGGTAGTTCAAGACCAGCCTGGCCAACATGGTAAAACCTCGTCTCTAAATTAGCTGGGCATGATGGCACAGCCCTGTAATCCCAGCTACTCGGGCTGAGGCAAGAGAATCGCTTGAACCGGGGAGGGGGAGGTTGCAGTGAGCTGAGATCGCGCCATTGCACTCCAGCCTGGGTGACAAGAGGAAAACTCCATCATAAAATTAAAAACTTCCTATTTCTGAAGAAAGGAAACAAATTTAAATGGCTGGTAACATTCGTCAATTCATTCAATTTCCATTCAGTGCCCAATTATGTGGCAGACACTGTCCTGGCCAGAGCCTGAACCAGCAGGGGAAAAAAACCCTGCCCTGTTGGAGCTTACTTCTAGAAAATGGTTTGTTTTTTTAAACGGGAGGCTGAAGCGTCCTCTATAAAGGCGGTGAGAGGCCTGGCAGAGTCCTGAAGCCCCCTCGCCACAGCACAGGTCGACGTGACCAGGGCTTTGTGGTCCCAGCACTGTGGTCCCTTGCCCCGGCCTACTACGGAATCTCCCAGGCAGCCTTCACAGATGCTGAGGCCCAGGCCCACCCGAGATGGATCCCACCGTTTTTGGGAGGCTGGGGCTAGGCATGTGTATTTTTCTTTTTTTTTTTGAGACAGAGTCTCACTCTGTCGCCCAGGCTGTAGTGCAGTGGGGCGATCTTGGCTCACTGCAACCTGTGCCTCCTGGGTTCAAGCGATTCTCCTGCCTCAGCCTCTGGAGTAGCTGGGATTACAGGGCACACGCCACGACGCCCCGCTAATTTTTGTATTTTTAGTAGAGACAGGGTTTCACCATGTTGGTCAGGCTGGTCTCGAACTCCTGACCTCGACCTCCCAAAGTGCTGGAATTACAGGCGTGAGCCACCAGGCCTGGCCGGCATGTGTATATTTAAAATCCTAAGGTGATTCCACTCTTTTGCGGGTAGAAAACTAGAGTTCTAGAGGAAAGGAAATAGAAAAAGAGAGAAACCGAAAAAAAGGGAAAAACAGGGAGACTTAAAAGATGAAAACAGTAAAGGTAAAGGGAACAAAGGGGGCAAAAGAGAAATGGTACTTCAGGAGGACGCGCCATCTGGCTCCAGCTGGGGCTGCGGGAGTGGGAATGAGCGATGGCGAGCCTGTAGGCTGTGGGTGGCGGCCTCGGCGGCCGGCAGGCCATGCTGGAGTACCTGCCATGATGAAGAGGAGGACGTCCCACAAGTTCCGGACAGATGTGGCCACCAAATTAATCAGGAAACAAAAGGAGCTTAATCTTAGAAAAATGATAAGGGATATAAAAGCTCCCTAGGAGTCAAACTACTGGGGCGTATGGTGTCAGACCTGCACTGCTGTCTGATGGCTCTCTCTACCTACGCTTGCTCCATCTCCCGTTTATCCTCCATTTATGTTTCCTCTAATAAATTACTGCACATCTAAGAAAAAAGAAAAATGGCATTTTAAAGACATAATATCCTATTGCATTCTTTTTTATTCTGTATCATTCTCTTTTCTTTTTTTTTTTTTTTTAAGGCAGAATCTCGCTCTGTCACCCAGGCTGGAGTGCAGTGGCGCAATCTCGGCTCACTGCAACCTCTGTCTCCCAGGTTCAAGTGATTCTCCTGGCTCAGCCTCCCAAGCAGCTGGGATTAAAGGCATGGACCACCACGCCCAGCTACTTTTTTTTTGTATTTTTAGTGAAGATGGGGTTTCACCATGTTGGCCAGGCTGGTCTTCAACTCCTGATCTCACGTGATGTGCCTGCCTCAGCCTCCTGAGGTGCCAGTATTACAGGCAAGAGCCACCACACCTGGCCCCTTTTCTCTCTATCATTCTTAAAACAACGTTAGACAATTTTCAAGGAAAAAAATATCACCTGTTCAAAGTAACCTAGGGGTATTACAGTTAATTTCAAATGCGAAGCTTTCAGTAAAAACTGAATGCTACCTTATTTCCCCCATCACCATATCCTTGCATCAAAAAGAGCACAGGCCACTCAACCTCAGCAAGGCTGCTGGATCCACCCAGGATGGCGGGGACCAGACCCACCGGGAGGAGGAAAGGCACCAGCTGCTGCGGAGGCCGAGGTCAGCAGCATGGAACTCGAACAGAGTGGGGGCCCACTCGGGGTGGGGCTGCTGCTTTCTCGCTGAGCTTTCTGTTAGCCTCACTATTTAGTCCTCAGATGCGCCCAGCATCCTGTACCTGAAGTCTCCGGGCAGGTCCCGTGCATGAGGCCGAACATGTTTCCGCAGGCCTTGCTCACCGCAGCCATCTTGGCCAGCACCGGGAGGTTGTGAATTACAAACGACACCTCGTTCCTCTGCTGCTTGGCCAGGTTCTGCGCATGGCCCAAAATCCCGAAGCCCGTGATGTCAGTGGCGGCGTGGGCATTGAACGTGTGCATGAGTCCTGCAGCTGGGAGAGAGAGGGGGCGGCTCTGAGAAAAAACACCTTTCCTCAACTCAAAAATCTTACGTCCACAATTAATCTGCAACTTCCTTACTTGTCAGGGAGATGACGTATCGGAATAATGAAAACGCAATGTAAAATCAACCAAAGACATAGTGAAATTCCAAAAGTTCTTATTTCACTTTGAGCCACCTGAAAACTATCAGAAGCTTCAATTAATAGTAGTTTTCCAGTAAACTAAAAAAACTATGCAGAGGGATTATGATCTCAGTGGAAGGTAAACCGGCCAAGACCATCCTAAAACCAAAGACCGGCACTTTTTTCCTTTTTTGAGATGGAGTCTCGCTCTGTCATCCAGGCTGGGGTGCAGTCGTACGATCTCGGCTCACTGCAACCTCTGCCTCCAGGGCTCAAGTGATTCTCCTGCCTCAGCCTCCTGAATAGCTGGGACTACAGGTGCGCACCACCACGCCCAGCTAATTTCTGTATTTTTAGCAGAGACAGGGTTTCACCATATTGGCCAGGCTGATCTTGAACTCCTGACCTCATGATCCGCCCGCCCTGGCCTCCCAAAGTGCTGGGATTACAGATGTGAGCCACCACACCCGGCCAAGACCAGCACTTTTTAAGAAGGCCTTGCTCAGTATCAAGGTACTCCCGCGAAAGGTGAATTGCGTGCAAGTTTATTTTTAAATTTCTTTCTTTTTTTTTTTTTTAAGAGACAGAGTCTTGCTCTATTGACCAGGCTGGAGTGCAGTGGCATGATCATAACTCACTGCACTTGGGCTCAGGCAATCGTCCTGCCTCAGCCTCCCAAAGCGCTGGGATCACAAGTGTGAGCCACTGCTCAATAATATTCCATACTACAGATACACTACATTTTGTTTATCCATTCATCCACTCACCTACTATTATTTAATTATCCATTCACCCGACCTATTATTTAATTTTAAAAAAATTTACAGACTTTATTTTTTGGAGCAGTTTTGCGTTTAGAAAGAAATTAAGTGGGAAGTAACAAATCCTCAGTGCTCTGCTCTACCTGATCCCCTTCCTCTCCGATAACCTCTGGCCACCACTGATCCTTTCTGCATCTCTACAGTTTTGCAGAATGTCATGCAGTTGGAATCCTTCTGTATGGAGCTTTTTCAGACTGGCTTCTTTCACTTAGTAATATGCACTTAAGATTCCTCCACATCTTTTCATGGCTTGATAGCTCATTTCTTTTTACTGCTCAATTATATTCCATCATACAGATACACTACATTTTGTTTATCCATTCATCCACTCACCTACTGAAGAAATGAATGGCTGCTTCCAAGTTCTGGCAATTATGAATAATGCTGCTATGAACATTTGTCTGCAGGCTTTTGTGTGAATGTAAGTTTTCAACTTTTTTGAGTGAATATCAAGGAGCACAATCGCTGCATCATATAATAACATATTTAGTTTCATAAGAAACTGCCAAACTGACTTTTAAAGTGGCTGTGCCAGTTTTCAGTCCTACCAGTAATAAATGAGAGTTCCTTCCTGTTTCTCTACATCCTTGCCAGCAGTTGGTATTATCAGTGTTTTTGGGTTTTTTTTGAGACAGGGTCTCGCTTTGTCACCCAGGCTGGAGTGAGGTGGTGCGATCACAGCTTACTGCAGCCTCGACCTCCTGGGCTCAAGGGATCCTCCCAACCTCAGCTTCCCAAGTAGCTGGGACTAAGGCGCAAGCCACCATGCCCAGCTAATTTTTTGTATTTTTTTGGTAGAGATGGGGTTTCACCATGTTGCCCAGGCTATTCTCAGTGTTTTGGATTTTAGCCATTCTAACAGGTATGTGGTGGCATCTCAATCACTGCTTTAATCTACAGTTCCCTATTGACGTACCACACTGAAGGTTTCCTTTTATGCTTATTTGCCATCTGCGTTATCTTCTTTCATGGTGTCTGTCAAGGTCTTTGGGCCATGTTTAAATTGAGTTGTTTTTTATTATTGAGTTTTAAGAGTCCTTTGTATATTTTGGATACCTGACCTTGAACAGGTATGTGTTTGGCAAAATTTTTCTCCCAGTCTGTGGCTTGTCTTTTCATTTCCTTAACAGTGTTTTTCACCGAGCAGAAGTTTTTTATATTAATAAAGCCAAACTTAGCAATTTTTTAATAGATAGTGCTTTTGGTGTTATAAAGTCATCACCAAACCCAAAGCCACCTCAATTTTCTCTGATGTTACCTTCTTCCAGTTTTATATTGTTGTGTTTTATTTAGGTCTACGAATCATCAATATGGTCTGGCTCTGTGTCCCCACCTAAATCTCATCTCGAATTGTAATCCCCACATGTCAAGAGAGGGACCTGGTGGGAGGTGACTGAATCATGAGGGCGGTTTCCCTCGTGCTGTTCTCGTCAGGGTGAATGAATTCTCATGAGATCTGATGGTTTTGTAAGTGGCAGTTTCCCCTGCTCTTCTCTGTCCTGCTGCCTCATGAAGAACCTAGGTGCCTGTTTCCCCTTCACCATCTGCCACGACTGTAAGTTTCCTGAGGTCTCCCCAGCCATGTGAAACTGTGAGTAAATTAAACCTCTTTCCTTTATAAATTACCCAGTCAGCTGGGCATGGTGGCTCACGCCTGCAATTCCAGCACTTTGGGAGGCCAAGGTCAGGAGTTCAAGACCAGCCTGACCAACATGGTGAAACCCCGTCTCTACTAAAAATACCAAAATTAGTGGGGTGTGGTGGCGTGCGCCCTGTAATCCCAGCTACTCCAGAGGCTGAGGCAGGAGAATCGCTTGAACCTGAGAGGCACAGGTTGCAGTGAGCCGAGATCACCCCACTGCACTCCAGCCTGGGCGACAGCGAGACTCCGTCTCAAAAAAAAAAAAAAAAAAAAAAAAAAAAAAAAAAAAAAGAGACTCAGTCTCAAAAAAAAAAAAAAAAAATAATAATAATAATAATAAATGAATAAATAAATTATCCAGTCTTGGCTATTTATAGCAGTGTGAAAACACACTAAACATTCATTTTGAGTTAATCTTCACGAAAGGTATAAGATCTGCATCCAGAATAATTTTCTTCATGTGAATGTCCACTTGTTCCAGCACCATTTGGTGAAAAGACTCTTTTCTCCAATGAATTGCCTTTACTCCTTTGTCAAAAATCAGTTGACTAGGCCAGGTGCAGTGGCTCACGCCTGTAATCCCAGTACTTTGGGAGGCCGAGACAGGCGGATCACAAGGTCAGGGGTTCAAGACTAGCCTGGCCAACATGGTGAAAACCCATCTCTACTAAAAATACAAAAATTAGCCAGGCGTGGTGGCGGGCGCCTATAATCCCAGCTACTTGGGAGGCTGTGGCAGAAGAATCACTTGAAGTCGGAAGGCGGAGGTTGCGGTGAGCCAAGATCCTGCCACTGCACTTCAGCCTGGGCGAAAGAGCAAAACTCCATCTCAAAAAAAAAAAAAAAATCAGTTGACTATAATATGGACCTACCTCTGGATTCTCTATTCTGTTCCTCTGATCTATAACTTTTTTTTTTTTTTTGAGACATGATCTCACCCTGTCACCCAGGCTGAAGCGTAGGGGTATGATCACCACTCACTGCAGTCTCAACATCCTGGGCTCAAGTAATCCTCCCACCTCAGCCTCTCGAGTAGCTTAGACTACAGGAATGCACCAGGCGCAGCTAAAGAGACGAGATGGGGTCTCACTATGTTGCCTAGGCTGGTCTCCAACTGCTGGACTCAAGTGATCCTCCTGCCTCAACCTCCCAAAGTGCTGGATTATAGGTGTGAGCCACTGTGCCTGGCTATAACTTTCTTACAAGTAACAACAAATTACAGAAAATTTTTATTTCCAAATGAATTGTAAAACAATAGGTAAAAGATAATTGTGGTACATTTCTCTGGTAGAACATTATCTAGTCATTAAAAATTATGTGTACTATGGCTCACGCCTATAATCCTAGCACCTTGGGAGGCCAAGGAGGGTAGATCACCTGAGGTCAGGAGTTCGAGACCAGCCTGGCCAACATAGTGAAACCCTGTCTCTACCAAAAATACAAAAATCCGCCGGGCATGGTGATGATGCGTGCCTGTAGTCCCAGCTACTGGGAAGGCTGAGGCAACAGAACTGCTTGAACCTGGTAGGTAGCGGTTGCAGTGAGCCGAGATCACACCAATGGACTCCAGCCTGGGCGACAGAGTTAGATTCTGTCTCAAAAAAAAAAAAAAAAAAAAAAAAAAAGTTTACTAGGATACATAATATGGGAAACATTAGTCATGTCAAAACAACAAAAGCAGGCACTCCAAATACATATACTAACCATTACATAGTGAAAACTTATACTAACCACTACTTTAAAACAACAATAGTAAATCACCAGCCAAACATGAAAAAAAGTCCTGGAAGAATACATAAAAATGCTAGCCGGAGCTGTTTTGGGTGGAGGGACTATGGACAACTTTTTTCTGTACTATTTTCCATTTTCTAAAAACTTTTCTATAATAAGCATGTAATTCTTTTATAGTAGAAAAAATGTATAAAATAAATGGGAAGAGAAGACATATTAAAAAACGCTTTCTAAACATAGTGTGCCATTGTAAACTGTGGTGAACACTTTGGAAGACAGTTTGGCACTATCTATAAAAGCTGAGCCAGTACTGATCTCTTACACGTGCCTCAGAGGGCTGGGCCAAGGAAGTCCATAGCAGTCGCCCCAGTGTGAAACAGGAGAGCAGAGAAGCCAGTGGAAAAATCAACACAGCCAAAAGGAATCTACTACAGCTACATATAACAAGGAGACTCTCAGGAACAATGGTGAACAAAACAAGTAAAAAAAATGCAAAACTAATTTGCTGCTTAAGAACACAAGGGCTGTGCAATAAAAATATTCTAAAATGCAAGAAAATAAACACAAAATTCAGTGGTTACACCTAAGCAGGAATGCAGGGGATGGGTGGGAGTGGGGGCACTTCTAGACTTCCAAGGTTATGTTCTGGAAATAGCTCCAGTATCTTAAACTTTCTAAATTTCCATTCTGAATGGTTTGCTTCCAAATCTTACATAGGTAACCCACACAAACGCTTTCTAGAAATAGTTCCTCTGGTATGTCAGAAGTTAGGACTTCCTTCTTAATTATAAAGCACTGTAAGTCAGGGACCATCTGCAGTGATCTATGGAATGCCAACCTGGTACCAGGAGAAGACGGTCTGTAGTCACTGGCCAAAAATCTGGCCACCTACCCTGAGACAGTATGTGGCCAGAAAAGCCTAAGACATTTACTGTCTTGGACCCCTGGGACCGAAGCGCCCTTCCCACCTGTCATACCTGTCCTGTTGAGCCTCGCCATGTTCATCATCGCCTCCTGGTAGGCCAGCTCTACATCTTCTTGGGTGACCACTAGTTTAATCTTATTCCATTTCTCAGGCTGATAATAGAAATGTAGGTGAGGGAGAGAAAGAGAGGAAAATGTGATTAATCTTTACTTCTAGCAACTGAGAAAAACAGCAACTTTTTCTTATTTAACTTCTAGGGACTTTAATTCAGAAAACTGAATTTTCCAACTCTGGTTTTTCTGTGGATAGTATTTTAGGTGTCCATTAGACCTGTCAGCATGGCGTCTTTTCTGTTCTCATCCCACATTTCTGTAATTAAGTGCTGTGATTTATTGGGTATGTGTAGTCTAGCGGGACACACGGCGGCACTGCTGTACATGCAGTGTAGTGTCCTGCTAGTGGAGAAGGGCTCCCCCATCCGTGACACTCCCTGCCTCACCTGCTTCCAGCTCCCTGCTAGCTCAGGCCTGGGAGGTGGGGCTGGAAGGCACCTCTGCGCAACATCCCCGCAGTGGCCTTCTGCTCTGCTCCCCATCACAGGGGGAGGAGGGAAAAACTGCTAAAGAACGTGGCAGCCTTAGAGAATTTCTCTACCCTGCGACATCAAGCTAAGATATACCAGGTTGATGAAAGACGTGTAATTATTGATTATTCTCTTTCAACTGTTTCTCAGGACTGGTAGTTTCAGATGATAGTTGTAGAAATTAAATGCACCATGATATGTGAGAATATACCCCAATCTTATTAATTTGTGAGTTGTTACGGCAATGAAGAAAACCAATCTTAAAGTATGATTATAGCTCACTGGAAAAATGACTCACAAGACATATCCTCATTATAGATAGATTCATTCTGCACAAGAGAATTATTTATCAAAATGTTCTGAGTTACTCATCAGTTTAAAAAGACAAAACTACCAAACAAAAACAACCAAAAACTGCATAAAACAATTTAAACTGTCAATAACCCTGGTTTTATTTATACCCCAAACACTACGCCTTCCACCAATTCTCCTTCATATTATTTCTTAGTGATGTTTAAGACATGAAAGACGAAGCTATCTCAGGGCCAAGTAAACAAAGCTAACCCCCTGCCGAGCAAATTCTTTACAGAAAAATCTTAAAGCTCCAAGCTGGGGCTTACCTACTGCAATCAAGCATTCAATATGCAAAACTGTTATTTAAAGACTATGAACAATTCCTAGGATTTCTTTAAGGACTTGACTAATATTAACTCCCTGGATATGAAACTAAAAAACCTCATTTCCCAAATCCTCCAACAAAAATTACCTGCAAACGTACCATTCCCCTCCCTCCCATCACAGCAGTGGTTTACTCACGATATCCAGCCACTGGTGCACAGCCACTGCCACCTGTGTCCCCAGGGGTTTTGTCAGCACCAGCACGTCCCCTGGCACTGCATTGTCTGGCCTGAAGAAAAGAAAAGGGCATGTTCTAGTCAAACTAACCAAGGAGATGAGCTCATTGTTATTAACACAAGAGAAGGAATAATCTGTCAAAAATATATCTGCCTTTGCATTTACTTAAATTGAAGCCAACTACCAGCATGTATGGGACAGAGCCTTGCAACCTGCTACTGAGGCTATTGCTGGAACAAAACATTCAGCCATCAGGCTGGACACAGTGGCTCATTTCTGTAACCCCAGCACTTTGAGAGGTCAAGAGGGGAGGATCACTTGAGCCCAGGAGTTCAGGACCAGCCTGGGCAACACAACAAGGACCCCATTTCAAAAATAATATACATATTTTTAAAAAGAATGAAACATTTAGCCTTCAAACGTTTCATCAGGCCCAGATTTCCCCTCGACCACATACGAGTGTATGTGTAATTTTCACTACAGACCCACTAGCATTCAAAAGCTTCTGAAACAGAGAGTGCTTCTTTATGATCACTGATATGCTAGAGACTCAGGACGGATTTTTCGGCCCAGGGGTTTGGTGGATTTGCAGGCAATCTGTGGGTCTAATGTCTTGGTGATTTCTGCCTCCAGGTTCTCAAACTCAGACTGACTGATGGTGAGTTTCCTACCTGGCACCCAGACGCCTTGGTGGTCCCTGTCTTAGAGACAGAAGGCAATACTAAAAAGGCACCTCTAAAAGATGACAACTGGTGCCCGAATGAAACATCTACCAGACTTGCATTCACACTACCAGGAAGCAGGTCTGAGAGTTGTGCCTTTCGCAGCTTCAGCAGCTGAGCTCCTGAATCGTTCCATTCCCCGATGCTGGCCTCCTCAGGTACTCACCCAAGTCGATGAAAACAAAGCCAGGGCCACAGACTTCAATACCAACACCCAGCTCCCCAGCTCAACCTATACCATTTGTATCCACTCTCAGCTTTGAAAAATAGAATTCTGTGACTACGCAAGAAACTTGTTTTCCAAAAACCAGACCTGAAGACATAAATGTCTTCGAATTCAGACTCAGTTGTACCATAAAGTTGATGTTCTTTTTTTTTAAATTTTTTAAAATTATACTTTAAGTTCTAGGGTACATGTACACAACATGCAGGTTTGATACATAGGTATACATGTGCCATGTTGGTTTGCTGTACCCATCAACCCGTCCTTTACATTAGGTATATCTCCTAATGCTATCCCTCCCCCAGCCCCCTACCCCCGACAGGCCCTGGTGTGTGATGTTACCCGCCCTGTGTCCAAGTGTTCTCATTGTTCAACTCCCACCTATGAGTGAGAACATGCGGCGTTTGGTTTTCTGTCCTTTTGATAGTTTGCTTAGAATGATGGTTTCCAGCTTCATCCATCTCCCTGCAAAGTACATGAACTCATCCTTTTTTACGGCTGCGTAGTATTCCACGGTGTGTATGTGCCACATTTTCTTAATCCAGTCTATCATTGATGGACATTTGAGTTGGTTCCAAGTCTTAGCTATTGTGAATAGTGCTGCAATAAACATATGTGTGCATGCGTCTTTACAGCAGCATGATTTATAATCCTTTGGGTATATACCCAGTAATGGGATTGCTGGGTCAAATGGTATTTCTAATTCTAGATCTTTTTTTTTTGAAACTGAGTTTCACTCTGTCACCCAGGCTGGAGTACAGTGGCACGATCTTGGCTCACTGCAACCTCCGCCTCCTGGGTTCAAACCACTCTCCTCAGTCTCCTGAGTAGCTGGGATTACAGGCGCCTGCCATCGTGCCCGGCTAATTTTTTGTATTTTTAGTAGAGACAGGGTTTCACCATGTTGGCCAGGGTGGTCTTGAACTCCTGACCTCAGATGATCCACCCGTCTTGGCTTCCCAAAGTGCTGGGATTACAGGCATGAGCCACCACGCCCGGCCAAAAGACTGACTTTTCTTAACAAGACATCAAACATGGAAAGTGACAACTTGGTTAGGAGAGAAACTTCTCCAAAGAAGATACACAAATGGGTAGTAAGCACATGAAAAGATGCTCGGCCTCATCAGTCATCAGGCAGACACAAATCAAAACCACAAAGACATTCCACTTCACACCCAGTAGGCTGGCTAGAATCCAAAAGACAGACAGGAAAACAAGTACTGGAGGGGTCATAGAGAAATTGGAATCCTCATACATTGCTGCTGGGAACGTAAAATGGCGCAGCCATGTTGGAGACCAGTCTGATGATTCCTCAAGTTAAACATAATTACCACATGACCCAGTCAATTCTTAGGTATACACCCAAGAGACCGGAACTTATGTCCACACAAAAACTTAGAATGTTCATGGCAGCATCATTCCTAATAGGTGGAAACAACCCAAAGGTCCGTCACCTGAGGAATGGCTAAATAAAGCAGGGTCCATCCATGCAATGGATTATACAGCCATGGAAAGGAATGCGATACCGATTCATGCTACAACACGGATGGACCCGGAAAACATTCCGCTATGGGAGTGAAGCCAGACACAGCATGTCATGCTGCACGATTCCATTTCTATACAATGTCCAGAACAGGCAAATCCTTAGAGACAAAAGCACATTCTTGGTTGCCAGAGGATGGGAGCAGGAGGGAAATGGGAGTGAGCTACAGGGCTTCTTTTTGGGGTGATGAAAACATTCTGGAATTGGATAGTGGTGATGGGTGCACAACCTTGTCAATACTAAAAACCAACACATTGTGTACTTCAAAATGCTGAATTCTATGTTATGTGAAATTTTGTTACGTGAATTATACTTCAACTAAAAAACCTAAAATGTCAGCCGGGCGCGGTGGCTCACGCCTGTAATCCCAGCACTTTGGGAGGCTGAGGCGGTCGGATCATGAGATCAGGAGATCGAGACCATCCTGCCTAACATGGTGAAACCCCATCTCTACTAAAAATACAAAAAATTAGCCGGGCATGGTGGCAGGTGCCTGTAGTCCCAGCTACTCGGGAAGCTGAGGCAGGAGAATGGCATGAACCCGGGAGATGGAGCTTGCAGTGAGCCGAGATCATACCACTGCACTCCAGCCTGGGCGACGGAGTAAGACTCCGTCTCAAAAAAAAAAAACAAAAACACCTAAAATGTCTTAAAAATAGGATTAAAATACTGACACATGCTACAAAATAGATGACCCTTAAAAGTATGCTAATACTATGCTAAGTGACAAAATCCAGGATGGAGCAGGAGTGAACAGTGAGAGCCGAGGAGGATGGGGTTTCTTCCTGTAGCAATGAAAACATCCTAACATCAACTCCGGTAATGGCTGTACAACTCTGAGTATACTCCAAACCACTGACTCTTTAAATGGGTGAATGGTATAGTACGCAAATTATATCTTAATACATCTATTTTTTTTTTTTTTTGAGATGGAGTTTCGCTCTTGTTGCCCAGGCTGGAGTGCAGTGGCGCGATCTTGGCTCACTGCAGCCGCAGCCTCCTGGGTTCAAGTGATTCTCCTGCCTCAGCCTCCCAAGTAGCTGGGATTACAGGCATGTACCATCATGCCTGGCTAATTGTGTATTTTTAGTAGAGATGGGGTTTCTCCATGTTGGTCAGGCTGGTCTCAAACTCCCAACCTCAGGTGATCCACCCGCCTTGGCCTCCAAAAGCGCTGGGATTACAGGCATGAGCAACCGCGCCCAGCCTTGCGTTCTTGTCTTTTTTTTTTTTGGAGACAGAATCTTGTTCTGTTGCCCAGGCTAGAGTGCAGGGGCATGATCTCAGCTCACTGCAACCTCCACCCCTGGGGTTCAAGCGATTCTCCTGCCTCAGCCTCCAGAGTAGCTGAAACTACAGGCTTGCCCCACCATGCCTGGCTAATTTTTGTATTTTTAGTAGAGACAGGGTTTCGCCACATTGGCCAGGCTGGTCTCAAACTCCTGACCTCAGGTGATCTGCCCGCCTCGGCCTACCAAAGTCTGGGATCATATGTGTGAGCCACTGCACCTGACCTTAATACATCAATTTTTAAAAAGAGAGGACAGAGAGAGAAAAACAGGTCAGGTGATATGAAACAAAAATCAACTTACATGATAAATTCATTGGGTTGGCAGACAGTGGTAGCCACTCCTCCCAGGACAATCCAGGGGTTTAGTACTGTTTGGCCGCCTGTTACAGATGTTCCTGCTTCCTCAGCTGCGTCTTTAAAACCTTGGATAATCAGAGGCATCACTTTATCCCTTTCCTAAGGTTGAAAAAGGTACAAATAAAAAGTCAAAGAATTCTGTTCAAAACCCAGAAAAGAAGGTTTTTACACTTACAGTTATAAAAAGAACCATAAAATCCTAAAGGAAGTCCTCAAAGTTTACAGACAGGGAAGGTTGTTAGGGGCCAGGCATAATCGCTCACGCCTGTAATCCCAGCACTTTGGGAGTCCGAGGTGGGCAGAGAGCTTGAGCCCAGGAGTTTAAGACCAGTCTGGGCAATGCAGACAGACCCCTTTCTCTACGAAACATGTAAAAATTGCTGGGTGACCGGGCACAGTGGCTCATGCCTGTATTCCCAGCACTTTGGGAGGCTGAGGCGGGCAGATCACCTGAGGTCAGGAGTTTGAGACCAGCCTGGCCAACATGGTGAAACCCCGTCTCTACTAAAAATACAAAAATTAGCCGGGTGTGGTAGCATGCGCCTGTAATCCCAGCTACTTGGGAGGCTGAGGCAGGAGAATCGCTTGAACCTGGGAGGCAGAGGTTGTAGTTAGCCAAGATCGCATCACTGCACTCCAGCCCTGGGCACAAGAGTGAGACTTCATCTCAAAAACAAAAAAAAAAAATATTGCTTGGTGTGGTGGCATGTGCCTGTGGTCCCAGCTATTCCGGAGGCTGAAGTGGGAGGATGTCTTGAGCCCGGGAGGCTGAGGCTGCTGCAGTGAGCTCTCATCACACCACTGCACTCCAACCTGGGCAACACAGGGAGATCTTGTCTCAAAAACAAACAAAAACAAAAGCTAGAAAATATTTCACATTGTCATCATTTTATCCAATGCTGGAAGATGTTCTAGACAACAATGTAAATAAAGCCCAGACACCAACATTGTCTGGACTCAGTGCACAGGACCAGCCCTAGGTCTGATGACTGCTGGAAGCCAGCTGTCCAGTGCTCCTTGAGAATCTCAAGACTGGCTTCCTAAGCACAGGTCCCCTGCCCTGCAGTAGGCATCCATCCTACCAAGGCTTGGCTGCAGGCTACGAGTAACCCACACTGACAGAGCCTGCGCCAAGACCACCATGCACCACTGATGACTACAGCCCATGTTCAAGGGCAGGAAAGAGCCTACTGGAAACTCAAGTTTCTCTAAGGCAGGGCAAACTGTTGGGGGCTCTTGGGACAAAAACAAGTACCTGTCTATCTAAATAGGAATTCATCTCTGGTTCAAAGAACAGGTTCAGGCAGCAAGGGCACAGAATGCTAGGCGATGACACAGAGGCGTGAGCCCCTGGTGGCCCTATCCCCCGTCACCATCTACGTCCACGACATCCCCAGCCACAGCAGAGGGAGTGCCCTCTAAGTGCCACGTGTCCCACATCTGTAAGGCTGTGCCTGATTCACACTGAGGCACCATTACTATGGCCAAAACTTTATTTTAAAAAATGCACAGGTCGGGCACGGTGGCTCATGCCTATAATCCCAGCACTTTGGGAGGCCGAAGTGGGTGGATCACGAGCTCAGGAGTTCGAGACCAGCCTGACCAACATGGTGAAACCCCATCTCTACTGAAAATATAAAAATTAGCTGGGGGTGCTGGTGTGCCCCTGTAATCCCAGCTACTTGGGAGGCTGAGGCAGGAGAATCGCTTGAACCTGGGAGGTGGAGGTTGCAGTGAGCTGAGCTTGTGCCACTACACTCTAGCCTGGGTGACAGAGTGAGACTCTGTCTCAATAAAACAAAAAAAAATATACACAAATGCCTTGGGCCGGGCACGGTGTTTCACGCCTGCAATCCCAGCACTTTGGGATGCCGAGATAGGTGGATTACCTGAGGTCAGGAGTTCAGGAACAGCCTGGCCAACGTGATAAAACCCCGTCTCTAATAAAAATACACAAAATAGCCAGGTGTGGTGGTACGTGCCTGTAATCCCAGCTACTTGGGAGGCTGAGGCAGGAGAATTGTTTGAACCCGGGAGGCGGAGGTTGCAGTGGACTGAGATTGCGCCACTACACTCCAGCCTGGGCGACAGAGTGAGACTCCTGTCTCAAAAAAAAAAAAAAAAAAAGTCTTGGTTTCAGTCTACTGGGAAGAGAGAAAGGGAGCAGGTGGCAGAAGTGCAGAGATGACTAGGCCAGGCTTCCTCATTTTAATTTACTGGTAACTGCCAAAAAGTGGAGAGCCAGAAGGAGTGCAGGGAGCCATATGGCCTGGGCTCCTCGCTTTCTAGATGGGAAACCAAGTCTAACCAAGGCCAGAGATGCCACCGGGACAACACGGACCAGGCAGCAGCCGGGTAGCTCCTACTTACCCTGTCGGTCATTTTATTACTGACTCCAAGGAGCATCAGCATATTGTCACATTCCGTGACCCCCATTGCATAGAGGTCACTGAGGACATTGGCACACGCTATCCTGCCCTGGGAAGAGAGGGAAACATGAGAAAGGACGACCGGGGACTTTCCATCTGCAGAAACTGAGTGAGCCATGGAGTGGACTCCACAGAGAACGTGGAGACTTTCCAGGAGTAGCAGCTACTAGGATGGGGTCCTCAGTTTCTATGATTTGCAGACTGGCAACCTTTCCTGCATCACAGAGTCACTAGGCCATTCGTTTTTTCTCAGACATTCCTGTTACCACCTCTTTCTTGTGCAGGACAAAGAATGTACCAGTTTTTCTCCATTCTAAATTTTAGAAGTCTGCAATTTATTTAGATAGGGGAAGGGGTATATGTGCAGCGAATGAGGAGGAGAAGCAAGTTTAGAACCGACAGTCTTGGGGGAAGAGCTATGGAGCGAAAAAGCCTGCAAACAACTCTCCTAAAGAAAAGTTGGAAACAGCCACATATCCCAAACAGATTCTAAAAATGGCTGGCTTTAGTGGTTATAGAGATGGAGATAGTCTTTGTGCACTTGGATTAAGAAATGTTTGCAGCTTAGGCTGGGTGTGATAGCTCACGCCTGTAATCCCAGCAATTTGAGAGGCCGAATCAGGTGGATCACTTGAGGCCAGGAGTTAAAGACCAGCCTGGCCAACATGGTAAAATGCTGTTTCTACTAAAAATATAAAAATTAGCTGGGCATGGTGGTGCACACCTGTAGTCTCAGCTACTTGGGAGCCTGAGGCATGAGAATTGCTTGAACCTGGGAGGTGGAGGTTGCAGTAAGCTGAGATCGTGCCACTGCACTCTAGCCTGGGCAACAGAGCAAGACTGTCAATAAACAACAACAAAAAAAAAACAAAAAAAATTTTTGTAGCTTCTTTTCAAGGATGTATGAGATAAACAGAAAAATCATCTTAAGAAACAAATAAAAAAATACCCAGGGCTGAAGTCATATTGTTTTCAAAAGAAAAAGAAGCATTTCCCAGTAAATGATGTCATTTTATTAGGAACTTTAAAATACAATTCAACAGAAATGTGGTAATGAAGATTTTTTTATTGCCACTGGAGATTTTTAAAAGTTAAGTTGCCCTTATCTAAATTTTTATCTTTTATAGACAATAAAGAGAAAATACAAATTTTCCTTCTGACATAAGGATAATCAAACTCCCAAGTGTTATCACTTCCAGTGGCTGTTTAATTGCTTGCTTTAGGCTTTCTTATACATTCCTGGAGGTCAGCAATGCAGCTCAACAACCATCTGTGGCCACACTTTCAGTATCATCAAGCCAGTCCACAAGGCCAACAGGTGGTCTACAACTCGCACAAGCCAATCGCTAGTTAGGGGGGTGGTGATTTAGCGCCCCTTCTGTTCTGGGTGCTCTCATTTTAGGAGATGCTGGAAAACAATGGACTGTGGTTTTAGCCATCCCTGCCACCTGGTCATGTGGGACCTGGGCTGTGGCTTACCTGCCCAGTCTCAAGAGTATTGCTCCAGAGGAGAAAACGGACAGATGTGCGGAAGAAATATAGGTTTCCAATAATCTGGTATTTGTCACTGGTACCTGAGGGTGAACACCCCCCACGTGGCTGCCTCATGATAAAGTCCCTACAGTGCAGCCTGATCCCACTGTCCTTGCCACACACGAAGAACACCTGGCATTTTATAGCAAACCAGATTTTCCTAGTCTCTCCACTGGCTCCTCCTGGGTGGTAGCAAATTGGGGTTAAAGGTTGGGTGGATCAAAGGGTGGCTGGCTGCAACTACGCAGTAAACAACTGGGGAACACACCTCAGCAGTGTATCATCAGTAGCCAGGAACTTTAACTCAGTGGTCAGAAACCTACTATGTACAGCGGCACATCACACGGTGGTGGGTGTGCAAGTGGCTGGGTTGAGTGAATTAACCAGATATCCGAATTAATGTTTGAGGCATCTAATTGTGATGAGATACTAGCTCCTTAATCTCTTGAAGGAAACATTTAGGATCAGTCCTATTACAGAGGACAGTAACATCTCCAGCCTAAAACACAGGGGTGATGGAGGTTACCAATGTCAAAGAAGAGAAGGTGCAAGAAAGAAGAAAATGACAAAAACAGGCCATTGACATGCTACTAAACAAGAGGTGTTCTTACTCACAGCATGTACTCAGTTGCAACAGCAGCAGAGGGCCTTCCCTGCTTCCTCCCTAATTGCTTTATGCCCAGTGCCAAGTGTGGGCAGGGGACAGGCCTGACTTCAGCAACTGCAGGAGTCTGGGCAGGGTGGGGCAGTATAGTCGGGATATAACAGAAATAAAACCAAAACCCCACAGATACATACAAAACCCCAGCCACAACCCAAACCAAACAAATAAGCCCTTCCAGTCACAAAAACACATCGGCTCACGCTTACCATCATGTAAGGGTCGTCTACGATCGGGTAAATGTAATCTGTGGTTTGAACCAAGGAAAGCCCACCGTGCCTCAAAGGAATGACACAAGTATCCATTCCAATGCCTGTGGAGATGGAAGTCATTAGCATCCAAAAATAAAACGGGAAAGCCATTTCATTTTATATCACCAGTGCTCTGAACAGGAAGAGCTCATAAGATACTTATGGAAACTGCAGGCTGCCAATGAAGCCATGTGTTTCCTATCAAGAAGCGTAACTGAAATAAACGTGAAACATATCCAGCTTAGGATGGAAAATACCAATGAAAATGTTACTCATCAAGACTCAACTCCAATATGGCATAGTTTTAATCCTTAATGATGCCTTGAATAAAAATCTTTTTCACTGTATGACTTTTATTATTTTACTGTATTACTGTAGCGTGTGACTGGTACCGTATACAATTTCTTTGAAGATGAGAATCCTATAAATGGAACTTGGGTTATCTTAAGTATAGTTATTGTGCGTACATCTTTACAGACATTATCGTATTGTCCCATCAGAAACCATGTAAAATATTTTTACATTGAAAAATGCTATTATTACTTATACATTTTAGTCAAAAGTGAAAATGACACACACACAGATGAAATGAAAGGACAAATCCCAATCTACAATTCAATGGAAATTTCCAATCAAGCCTGGATATAAACACTCTGGCATCTATGTCAGAGGAGTCCCAAGACCACCAGTAGTAGTCAAGATACGCTACTCCTTGTCTTGGAGATAAGGCTGTACTCCTTTAAAAATTACTTGTAATGCAGGCATTTTACAAACTCAGACTAGCATTCCCACCAAGAAAGCTGAACACAGTGAGCAGCCCTACACCCCTCAGAAGGACACTCTTCTGTCCTCTTATGAGGACAGCTGTTCCTTGGTATCTGTGGGGGACTGGTTCCAGGACTCCCACAGACACCAACATCCACAGATGCTCAAATCCCTGATTTGAAATGTCCCAATATTTGCATATAACCTACACACATCTTCTCACATACCTTAAATCATCTCTAGATCACCTATGACACCCAATACGATGTGAATGCGATGTAAATATTTGTTATGCTGTACTGTTTAGGGAATAATGACAAGACAAAAAAAAGTCTGTGCATGTTGAGATGCAACCATCCACTTCTTTCCCTGCATATTTTCAGTCTGTGGTTGGTTGAATCCCCCACGAGGATTCTGCAGATACAGAGGGGGATGCTGTACTTCTACTTTGCAGCCCAATAGCCAAAAGCAGGGAAAAAGCCAGAATTAGGACAAAAGGAAGCAAATTATGTGCCTGAATCTACCCTATAAATTCAGAATTTCAAACAAGTTTAAATCATATCTGAATCGCACTAAAACGACCTTTAATATTCTGCGTAAGTGAAAGGGCCGTGAAGCACTGCCTCACTCGGTCTCATGACAGCAGCAGACCTCACAGAGGCGGGTCATGGAGGCACCAGATCTTTCCTGCTGCAAAAATGAAATCTCACTCAATAAAAAGCCATAGTCTGTGAAGACAGGCTGATTTTTATCACACTAGATAACAAAGCAGAAACTCTTGCTGGAAGACCTCGCTTAGGGAATGGAGAAGTGAAGTTCAGAATGGCAAGTTTCAACAATGTCAGGCACTGGATCAGTTTTCATCTGTCAGAGGAGAACGTGTGAGATAATTCACGTAAACAGCCCATGGGCACAACCTCTCAGAAATTTGTTTCATCACACTCTTTAGCACCTAAATAGAAATACCACTCTTTAACTCAATGGATTCTCCCTAAATGGATAATTCTGACAACTGGTTATTCTGAGTATATTATTATTCACTTTGGAAAACAGTAAGAGGCAGTTTTCTTTCAGGCTTCCATTTAAACTGGAGGACTACTGAAAGAGAAACTAAAATTGTTGCTGAATGTTAGCTTTAAATGTTCTTAATTTGAATAATCTTAAATTTGAATTACATACATTTGATTTGTAAAGCGCTTTATTTCTAAACTTAGCAAGTCCTTTGATCAGAGTAACGGGGGATTCTTGAGCACGCCCCTAGGGCTGAAAAGCAGCTCCGTTATCCACGGTTTCTCTTTCACACCTGTGCCACCACAGTCTACTAGAATAGGGTCTGGTGCTGTCCAATGTGGTTGACACTAGACACAGGGGGTGGCTGCGCATCTGACAAACAGGTGCTGTAAGTACAAAACAGACAACTGATTTTAAACACCTAGTACCAAAAACCAACATCTCATTAATAATGTCGTATATATACATACTGAAAAGACATTTTTATATATTGTGTTAAATAAAATAGATTATAATTAATTCCACCTGATTTTTGTTATCGGGTTTTTAAAAATATTACTTTGAATTTGAAAATTACGCATGTGGCTTGCATTGTATTTTTGGACAGCACTGGTCTACAGTGATTGGTTTAGAAATCACCAATCACATTTCAAGGAAGGAAGAGAGAAGGGGTGAGCCTGAGATGCCCACAGGCCTTGAAAAACTAGCGTTTGAAATGGAAAGACAGAGGGACGGTCCAGAGGGATGGTAACTGGGAACAGAGGAAAATGCCACAGGGTCGGGGAAGCCTTAAATACTAGACAGAACAGTTTAGGTTTAATGACCAGGAGGCAATGGGCAAACTTGCTGGAAGGTTTTCAGCAATACTGACATCCTCCATCAGAAAGACAACCTAAGTTATCACACCACTACCCACCCCCAACCCCTGCACCGCCCCCGCCAGCAGCAGCAATCATTACTTGATAGCTCCTAGGCACCAGGCAACAAATGTCTCTGGTTCTAAGGCACACTTCTTTTACCATTTCTTTAATTAGGATACATTTAGTAATCGTGTGTACATTTAAAAGCTGTTTTGGTTAACCCTTCAATTAACACCATTTTTGAAGCCAGAAAACATGACATTCAATTAGAAAAAAGTTAAAAACATAAACAGGCCGGGCGCGGGGGCTCATGCCTTTAATCCCAGCACTTTGGGAGGCCGAGGTGGGCAGATCACTTAGAGTCAGGAGTTCCAGACCAGCCTGACCAACATAGTGAAACCCTAACTCTATTAAAAATACAAAAAAATTAGCTGGGTGTGGTGGTGCACGTCTGTCATTCCAGCTACTTGGAGGGAGGCTGAGGCATGAGAATCAGGCCTGGGAGGGCCTTGAACCCGGGAGGCAGAGGTTGCAGTGAGCTGAGATTGCACCACTGTACTCAAGCCTGGGTGATGGAGTGAGACTCTATCTCAAGGAAAAAAAAAAAAAAAAGATGGCGGGGCGCGGTGTCTCACGCCTGTAATCCCAGCACTTTGGGAGGCCGAGGCAGGCGGATCACGAGGTCAGGAGATCGAGACCACTGTGAAACCCCGTCTCTACTAAAAATACAAAAAATTAGCCAGGCATGGTGGCGGGCGCCTGTAGTCCCAGCTACTCGGGAGGCTGAGGCAGGAGGATGGCGTGAACCTGGGAGGCGGAGCTTGCAATGAGCGGAGATCGCGCCACTGCACTCCAGCCTGGGCGACAGAGCGAGACTCCGTCTCAAAAAAAAAAAAAGTTAAAAAAATAAACATACAGCCGGGTGCGGTGGCTCACGCCTGTAATCCCAGCACTTTGGGAGGCTGAGGTGGGTGGATAACCTGAGCTCAGGAGCTTGAGACCAGCCTGGCCAACACCTTGAAACCCCGTCTCTACTAAAAACACAAAAAAATTTAGCTGGGTGTGGTGGCATGCGCCTGTAGTCCCAGCTACTTGGGAGGCAGAGGCAGGAGATCACTGCTTGAACCTGGGAAGCGGAGGTTGCAGTGAGCTGAGATTGTGCCACTGCACTCCAGCCTGGGCGACACAGTGAGACTTCATCTCAACAACAACAAAAAAAAGGTCAAAAACACCCATACATATATACCATATATACTTGTGTACAGAGGGTATACACATACATGTATTATATATGTAAGTACAGACATACATGGCACACCTACACACATTTTTGGTACAACAATGCAAAACAGTAATCTTTTTTTTTTTTTTGAGGCAGGGTCTCACTCTGTCTCCCAGGCCGCAGTACAGTGGTGTGACCTCAGCTCACTGTAGCCTCTGCCTCCCGGGCTCAAGGGATCCTCCCACCTCAGCCTCCCGAGTAGCTGAAACTACAGGTGTACACCAGCAAGCCCAGGTAACTTTTGTATTTTTAGTAGAGATGGGTTTCACCATTTTGCCCAGGCTGGTCTTGAACTCCTGACCTTGAGTGATCTGCCCATCTTGACCTCCCAAAGTGCTGGGATTACAGGTGTGAGCCACCGCACCCAACCCCAAACAGTAATTATTATTTTATAGATTAGGAAGCTGAGGCTCAGGAGGGCTGGGTGACATTCATGACATAATATGAGTGACTAGTAAGTAACTGTGCCAGAGGAAGTTATAAATAGTAATTCTTACTTTATGCCGTAATGTTTTAATTTCATTGGTTTTTGAGCATTAAGTATTAATAGCTTTTTTTCTTGACAGTTATCTAACAGCTTCCTCAGTATATTCTCATTTCTCGACAAATAAGCCAACATCAAACCCAGCTCGCTCACATGGTATTTCTCCACAGCTTGGCCATCAGCTG